>NC_000021.9:43262462-43468160 GCF_000001405.40 Homo sapiens | reverse complement strand
GGTGTGTGGTGTGGGTGGTGTGTGTGGTGTGTGTGGTTTGTGGTGTGTGTGGTTTGTGGTGTGTGGTATGTGGTGTGTTGTGTGTGGTTTGTGGTATGGTGTGTGTGGTATGGTTGTGTGTGGTGTGGTGTGTGCTGTGTGTATGGTTTGTGGTGTGTGTGGTGTGTGTGGGTGTGGTGTGTGTGGTGTGTGTGTGGTGTAAGTGTGGTGTGTGTGGTGTGTGTGTGTGGTGTGTGGTGTGTGTGGTGTGTGGTGCGTGTGTGTGGTGTGTGGTGTGTGTGGTGTGTTTGGTGTGTGTGTGGTGTGTGGTGTGTATGTGGTGTGTGGTGTGTGTGGTGTGTGTGTGTGGTGTGCTGTGTAATGTGTGGTGTGTGGTTTGTGGTGTGGTGTGTGTGGTGTGTGGGTGTGTGGTGTGTGGTTTGTGGTGTGGTGTGTGTGGTGTGTGGGTGTGTGGTGTGTGGTTTGTGGTGTGGTGTGTGTGGATTGTGGCCCCCATCCCCATCCTTGCGGAAGGGCTCAGACCCCGGCCCCTGTGCATTTACTCTCTAGCTTCTGGGTGCCAAGCTCAGGCTAAGGGGATTTCTGACGGGCTGGACGTCTGGGCTTCAGCCCTGAAATAAGAGTTTTGAGAAGGAAGAGGGCAGCGCTGGAACCCTCACCCGTCTTTTAATGAAGGGATTTGGCTAAGAAGAAATGCCAAGTACTTCCGCAGGTCATCCTGAGGTCAGGATGTGGTCGGTGTGTCTGTCCCTGAGCAGTCAGACCTGATGGTGGCTGGAGCTCCGGAAAGCTCGGGACCCCTCTAGCGTCCTAGGCCTTCTGTTTTCCTTCCTGCTCCAGGGGGCAGGACTGGCAGATTCAAGGAAGCTTTCAAGAGGGGTTAGAAAGAAGGGGTGTGCTCCAATCTGCCAGCCTGATGTCCTTCATGGGACCACAGGCCAGGAACTGAGGTTCCCTGCGAGGGGTGGATGCTGCGTCTGTGAGCCTCCCCACCTTCTTGAAGGCAAGAGCGCCCAGAGGTGTTCGCTTTTGGTGTCGGCCTTTGAGCTGGAGCCTGGAGCTGTTTCTCTGAATTCCTTCTGCTTGTTTCCTTGTGCTCTTGCCTGGGAAGAATGAAATGAAAAGAAAATGCAAAGCCCAGAACCTGGCAGAGATGGGATGCCCCAGGCCGGAGTGGGCAGGGCGGCGCTCTCAGCCCACTCTCAGCACAAACGCTGCCCCGTTCACCTCTCCGCGCTTGTTGCCAGAGCGTGTCAAAGACCCCGAAGAATGAAATGACTTCGGAAGAGGAGGCCACACACCCGTGAAACAAGCCGGATCTGCAGCGGAACATTCTTTACGTGTTTTGGGACATTTCAAAGACTGATGGCGTGCTGCCTTTGTGATGTGTGATCTGAAGATTCCATCAAAGAAAGTGTGTCCTTTGTGTGAAAGTTGTGATTCTTGGCATCTTCGTGGTTTTGGGTCCTGAAAAAATACCACGAGGGCCCTCCCTTGTGGCCTCTGCAACCATAGGAATGCGGGTTTTGGAAGTGGCATTTCAGGCACGGCCAAGTAGGAAATTAGAAGAGACCCTAGGACTTCGATGTGGGTGGAAGTAACAGCAGGGTGGTCGGAGGGGGGGGGGTGCCTCGTTGGGGACCCTCCAGCACCCCACTGTGGTTTCTCTTGGGGGTCGCTTGGACAGACTGTTGGAGGGCTTTCGTCCCCAACTTTCTATTGGCAGGTCATTTTTCAAAGACAACCCGCAATGCAGCCCTGTGGTTCTGCCTGTTGAGAACCCAGCATTGAGACCCCAGGGTCGACAGACAGTCTGAGAAGACTGTAATTTGCAGAAGAATCTCAGGGTGATGCTGGCAGGGCAGGGGTCAGAGCTAGCTGGGGACCAGGGTTGGCTGGGCACACCGTCTTGGTGGCTGGTAGTCGCAGCTCATGGAAGTCTGCCAGGGCGCGTAGCCTTGGACCTACAAGGGCAGGGTTCTAGAAGGGTGGTCTCCCAGCTTTTGTGAAAACCCTCCTTTAACAATCAAAAGTTTGAGTGCACACTCCCGATACATGTACACACATTGATTTTTTTTTTTTTTTTTTTTGAGGCGGAGTCTCACTCTGTCACGCAGGCTGGAGTGCAGTGGCGCGATCTTGGCTCACTGCAACCTCTGCCTCCTGGGTTCAAGTGATTCTCCTGCCTCCCTCCTGAGTAGCTGGAGTTACAGGCACACACCACCTTGCCCAGCTAATTGGTGTATTTTTAGTAAAGACGGGGGTTTCACCATGTTGACCAGGCTGGTCTCAAACTCCTGACCTCAGGTGATCCGCCCGCCTCAGCCTCCCAAAGTGCTGGGATTATAGGTGTGAGCCATTACGCCTAGCCTGATACATTGATTTTTTAACACTTGTCAAATGGACTAGCTAATAGTAAAATATTACATAGATTATAGAATATGGGCATTTTAAATACTTTTAAAAGATGAGATTTTGAAAGGACAGTATTAATATTTTCCTCCTGCGCCTCCCTGGGGCCTGTGGTCCTCCCTTTGTTTTTGACCCCTGGGCTAGAGTTAGAAGACAGGAAAGAGTTTGGCCTCACTGTAAGGACAGGCTTGTTTTTGTGATTATTGTTAATTTTTGGCCATATACCTTTAACTTTTTATCATACATTTTTTCTAAACATCAAGAACTTGAGAGGGAGCAGTATCATGGCAGCCCCATCTGACCTATAAGCCTTCTTCCCTCCCCCGATCCACTGCCCCTTACCCCTCCTCTCCCTGGAGTCTTTTAAAGCAATCCCTGACCTTATTTCATCAGAGAAATACCTCAGTGCGTGGCTGTACAGAATAGGGACTCTTCCAAAAAAAATAACTGTGCTACCGTTATCACACCTAAAACACGACCCTTGAATTCTTTGTGATAATCTGCTAGCAGTGTTGAAATTTCCCTGGTTGTCTCCTGTCTTTTCAGAGTTGGTTTGTTTGAGTACGAAGTCCAAGGCTCTCTGTGACTCTGAAGTCCCTCCGGAATGCCCAGAGCTTCCGTCCCCCCCACCCCCCCCCAACACACACACATCACTCATCGTTTATCTGTTGAAGAAACCTGGTCCTTTGTTTGTCCTGTAGAATTTCCGACACTCTGGGTTCTGCTGGCTGTCTCTGTAGTGTCGTCTACCATGTTCCTCTGTCCCCCAAATCCTGTGGCTCTGACGATGATGGTGAGGTGGTGGAGACGCCCTCACAGCTGGGCCACCCTCCCGTCGGGAGACACGTTTTGTCAGTTGCTTCCTCTGGAGTCCTTGTGAGTCAGACTCCTGAGTCAGGACCACCACCGTCAAGGTTGCCACCGCCGCCTCCTGACACGCGCCACCAGGCTCCGCGCTCATGGCCTGGCCTGGCATCTCACCAGGCTTTTCAATGGACTAGAGTGCGGGGCTGCTCTGCCTGTGGCAAGGGTTGTCCTGCTGCTGGGCACAGGCCCAGAGAGGAAGTGGCAGAAGCTGGGCATGGGATGCTGGTCCTTGAAGGAGTGTGTGGGGGCCACTGGGTTGAACGCAGCCCGCTGCAGCCCTGTGACCTTGAGTGAGTCCCTTTGTGGCTGGGTGGGAGGACACCAAGGCACAGACTGAGGACAGGCCCTTTCCCGGGCTCTCGGCTGGCCTGGTTATCACCAACAGGACCTCGCAGGCCCTTCCCCTCCACGGGCCCCAAGCCCCATCTGTAAGAAGGGGCAGCCCAGCTTGTTTCAGTGAATCCAAGAGAAACACTAGTTTTTGTCCTAGAGGAGAGGCCTGGCATGTCCCTTCGCACTAGTGATCTGGGAGGGAGTGGAGCTGACGCCAAGACCCCACGAAACCACCTTCTTTCCCTCTGTACCTGGAAAGGGCTTGGCTCCCACCACCTTTGGTGGGAACAGCCATTCAGAGCATTTTGCAAGGCCTCATTCTTTCCTGGAATCCCGGTGGAGAACCAGCTGGCTGAAGGAATGATCTGGAGAAAAGAGTTGTAGGAATGTGTGTGTCTGCCTAGAAAATGAATTGACTCTGAAAAATGGGCCGTAGGCCAGAAATAGCAGCTCTCCTGCCCTGGTCACTGCTGTTAGGAGGACAGTGTGGCATGTCCTTTCACTCTTCGAGCACCTTTGGCTGCTAGGACTGGTGGGGGCCCCCTCTACAGGAGGTCGTCGTCCCTCTGGGCCCACCGCTGGGCACGGAGCTCCCGTGGGCAGGTGGAGTGGACACGGTGCCTCTTAGGACTTGGGGTCCTGATCAGCTAGCCGGCAATCCCCCGCGGCAAAGTCCACCCCTCACTGAAAGCCAAAAGCACTGCTTGATGGGCAGGCCTGGCTACGGGAGCCGTAGTCATCACACACCCAGTAAATCACGCTCCTGGCACCTCCACACAGAGTGGCGATTTGTCAAAGCAAATGCAAGCAAATACCCACCCACTGCCGGCCTGGCAGGCTCCCCAGGAGTCGGATAGCTGGGGAGAGCCTGGACACACTGGCAGCTCTGGGAGCCCGGGGCACAGACTGCTCAGGGCAGGTCGCCCCTACCCCAGGAGGGGGCTGTGTCTGCAGGGGCCCAGAAGGAGACTCAGAGAGGCAGCTGGAAACCCACAAAACTAGACTTGTTCAGAAAATGGCCAAGCCCTTGGCCTAATTATTCTCCTTTTTTCTTTTAAGTTAAAAGACTACTTTTTAGAGCAGTTTTCATTTTACCGATACATCGATCAGAGAGTACGGAGCTTCCCACATTGCCTCCCGCACCCCATAGCAGGCAGAGGCACCAGCCAGGCGCCATCCTTTACAAGCTGTTTCAGCAAAATGTCCCTGGTGAGCTAAGTTCTTTCTGTATAGAAAACATGCGGTCCCCGCAGAGGGGATTGCTGGGGGTTCACACACTGAAGGGGGCGCCCCTTCCTTCCCCGTCCATGGTGGGCGCATGCAGGCCAGGAGCTGCGTCCCTCCCCGAGACGGGGAGGGGGACGCTCGCCCCCTGACCCCACCGTGGAGTAGCCCCCTGGTGGCCATGCAGGGCCCACAGGGGCTCTGTTCAGTCGGCCGCTGGGCAAGGCAGGACCGAAGATCTAGCAGGGTCAGCAGGTCCTGGAGGGCAGACAGGGTCTCAGGCCTGGCTGGTGCACAGCCCTGCCTCCAGAGCAAAGGGAACACCCCGGGAGCAGTGTGAGGCCAAGCCGGAGGTGGAGGTGCCGCAGCCCTGCAGGGCTGAGAATACAAGCATCACTAACCCAGTGTTTTCACAGGCTTCAGCCATCTTTTTTTTTTAGTTTTTTAGTTTTTGTTTTTTTTGCTTTTTTTTTTTTTGAGACAGAGTCTTGCTCTGTTGGCCGGGCTGGAGTTCAGTGGTGTGATCTCGGCTCACTGTAACCTCTGCCTCCGGGGTTCAAGTGATTCTCCTGCCTCACCCTCCCAAGTAGCTGGGATTACAGGCATCCACAACCATGCCAGGCTAATTTTAATATTTTTAGTAGAGACGGGGTTTCACCATGTTGGCCAGGCTGGTCTCGAACTCCTGACCTTGTGATCTGCCCACCTTGACCTCCCAAAGTTCTGGGATTACAGGCGTGAGCCACTGCACCCGGCCTTCAGTCATCTTTAAAATGCTTTTTTTCCTCTTTTGATTCAGGGTCTTAATGATTAAGTCCAGGCACTCCAAGGACGATTAAATATTTAAACAGCAGCTTCCCTTTGAAGGTCAGCCCAGAGTGTGGGGTGTGTGAGACGGCCAGGCGCACAGTGTGGGATGCCGTTGCTGGCGGGGGCGCGGGCCCATGGGGGACGGGACAGGTTCGGACGTGGGGAGGGCAAGGGGGCCCAGGAGGGTTCCCACTCTGCAGATGGCTGGCCTGCCTCTCTCTAAGAGCTGGCTCTACACTTGCTTCCACCCCAGGGAAGGAAATGACCGCAGAAGGGAGTGCACCGTGGGGGCAGGAGGTGCTGCGGCCAATGGGCAGTGCTGGGAGATGAAACCAACAGCGGCGATTGCCCCAGAAAGAACTTGGCGCTGCTAAGGCAATGGCGGCCCGAAAGAGGCCCCTGACGCATGAGGAGCGGCCGCCGTCTCCAGCCCCAGGCCTCCCTCCCCTGTGTTTCCCGCAGCCCCCTCTGGAGTCTCTCCCCCGCCCCGCACGTGTAGGGAGACCCCGGGAAAGTGGGCCGGTTATAATTGCAAAAAATAAACCGTCAGTAGCCACAATATCTTATAAACGTAAAAGTAATCTGAAAACCTACTTCAGTTAGAGAAAGGGCGTTTGAATATTTCCTGTTTAAGACACAGACCCCCTGAGAAGATGTATAAAGGACTTGGGCTGGGTGTGGTGGCTCACACTGCCCACACCATGACCTTGGACCCCCGGCCTCCGGAACTGAGAGGCGCCGAACGCCTGCTGTTCAAGCTGCACCGTGATGGGCACTTGGTTCTGTCTGCCCCAGGAAAATGAGCCCAGCGCTCTCCCCAAACTCCTTTGTCCTGAACTTCTTTCCAGAGCCCTCAGCCCTAATGGGTGGTCCCCTAGGGTCCTCAGCCTTCAGACTCTAAATTCCCGTTGGAAACCCACAGGCAGTAGGGCCACGCCCAGGCACTCAGCCGCTGTGCTGCTCCCACGGGGGGCCCAGCAAACAGCCAGAGGCAGGCCCGGGGAGAGTTCCAGGGGGCTGGGAGACAGGTGGGAAACCTGCCACTGGCGGAGCGGTTGGTGGAGGGGTTGGAGGAGGGGCCGACAGGGAAACACGGTCCACGCCTCTGTCTGGGGGCTGTCACCTCCAGGGCTTTGAGCCTCACCAGCGTTCCGCCGCATGGCTTGGAAGGTGTTGCTTTTCCTCCAGGGAGCTCAGGCCTCCGCAACATGAGGACACTGCGACCCGGAAGCACTCTGTGCCGTCTGAGCTGCCCGCGATCCAGTCCCTAAGAGGGACCATCGGCAGGCGGCTTCCTGGCTCTTGGGGTCCGCACAGGCCTGTGGTAGCCCTGTGAGTGTCGGCTCCTGCATAGAACCCTGCCTGACTTCCCAGGAAGAGGGTGCTGCCTCCTGGGGACTCTCAGCCAGGTGGGGACCACTGACTGGGTGGGGCGGCCACGCTGGCCCCATTGCTCCAGCAGGGATGTGGAACGGTGCCAGCGCTGCCCGGCCGCTTCCTCCAGGAGGCTGGGTGGCTCCCCCACTGCCGTGCTGCTGACCCAGCCCCTCGCTCACCCTCATTCTTCCACAGGGGCGGCCAGGACCGGAGGCCCCGTCTCCAGAGTGGTGGGTGGGAAGAAGGGAGAGGGCCGAGGGTCTGCAGGGTGGGCCTGGGGAGTCGAGCTAGGTGTGCGTGCAGGTGCCTCACCTGCCGGCCCTGCCCTGTCCACAGGAGGAGGCCATGAGAACCGTCAAGAAGTTCATGGACTCAGGAGGACGTCGTGAGCAGTGCTGAGGTCATGGAATGTGGGCTGGGACCTTGTGTTTGGTGACATCCTGTAAGTACTCGGCTCGCTCAAGCTAACTGCCCGGCTGGGATCACCGCTCTAGGAGGACTCAAGAGTTCAGATGAGTGGCCCAGGGGCCCGTCAGTGCTGTGCACCTCTCCCCCCATGGGTGGGGGAGGAGCCTGGGGACTTGGCCAGTCCTGGAGGAGCCCTGAGACCAGGCCCTGTGGTGGGCACCACGGCACGGGGAGGTGCCTGGAGGGCTGGAGCCCACTTGGGGGGCCATGGTCAGTCAGGGCTGCAGAAGCAGAGAAATGCGGGATGCCCATGCTGGCTGGGACTCGCCCACTGCCCTGCACATGGCGAGTGAGGGAGAGAGGCAAGGCACCTTTCCAGGGGTGCATGGGAGGCTGCGGTCAAAGGTCCTGCACACCCGCATGCGTGCTCACATCTGTAGCTGCAGACACTGACCCCCAGAGACCCCCGAGCTCATGTGGGGCTGGTGTAGGCGTGGGGTGGACGCTGGGGCAGTGTGGGCTCCTCCTCCTCCTCCATGCGCGTGACGGGGTGGGGGTGGCCCCTCCCCTTGCCCTGGGAGCTCCGGCCCCCTCCCCACCCTCCCTGTGGCCCCAGTAGACAGAGCCCTGGCCCCTGCCTCGGGCCAGGTTTGGCAGAGGGGGCCCTGGCTGGAAACTGGAGGCAGATGGAGGGGAGCTGGGGTTGCGGGCTGGCCGTGTCCCCTAACCCCTACACAGCCCAGCTCTGCTCCTGCTCCGCCTGGGTGTTCTGCAGGCTGGGGTGGAGGTGCTCCAGGACTGCCCCACAGCCCAGGGCCACACACCCCTGGAGCGATCCCTATCTCTGTCTGCGCCCTGGCCTCCTTCCTGCCAAGACCCTGACTGAGTCAGTAGGCTTGACTTTCATAAACTGGCCAACAAGATTGAGACCACACTTGGAGTGGAAGATGGGGCCGTCTTAAGCCCTTGCCCCCTGCACGGGTCAGCCTGTGGCCAACGTCCTGGGCCGAGCCTCCTCCTCTTGCTCCACGCTCTTCCCACCCTGAGAGGGGCCTGGTCTGGGTGGGTCTCCTGGGACCCCCAGTGTTCGAACATGACCTGAAAAGCAGAAATGGAGGCTGAAGCCTTGGCAAGGAGGCCAGCACTTCCCAATCTCACCTTCCACAGCTGATGTGCAGGGCCGGGGGAGTGTTGGTAATCCTCCCAGGACACACGTCTGCATTTAAGGGTGTGCCTGACATGAAAGGAAATTTATTCAATGATCTTTGCTAAAGACCGGAAGGGGACTACTCAGGACCAGTGCGGTGGGTGCTGGGACCAGGGCAGTGGGATTTTGCAGTGGTGGAGAGAGATTTAGGCTCCACTCTGAATATGGCTCCAGCGAGTGGGATTTGATAGCCCAGGAGCAGAGTGGGGTCCTCGGATGGAACATCACTAAGAACAAACAGCAGGGGTGGGAGGGTTCTGGCTGAAGGGAGGCGGGGTCATCCGTCATCACCTGGGTGCCGGAGGACGAGCATGCTGCCCTGACGAGGATGATCAGATACGGGGCGGGGCAGTTCTGGCTGAAGTCACTTAGCAGTGTTCTTGCTAAAACCGGATTTTGCAAGGAAGTGTGCAGGTGGCCTAGAAGGCTCAAGGGCCTGATAGAGTTTGGCCAAGCAAAGAATCTCGTCACTGAGAATTAGAATCAAGGGCAGGTGGCTAAATAGTGCCTTGTGGATTCTCTCCGGCTTTTGCGGCCCCTCCCTCCACATCCTGCTCTGGGTAGCCCCTATCCTGCAGCCATGACCCAGATTCCTGAAGAGGGGATGACTATACAGGGGCCTGGATGCTGGGTGCCGGCCTCAGGGGCGGGAGGCACCGGGAGAGGCCTGGCCGGAGAGCCGCCGGGACCCAGGTCAGGTCAGGACCCAGTGTGTAGCGGAGCTTGGGCTCATGAGGTCAGAGCTGGAGCCACTGCACATCGTCTCCCAGGGCCGGGGCTCCCAGAGGACATGCAGTGTCTGCAGTTTTCTGGGGTGCCCCCGTCCTCTGCATGGCACTCTGCGTGTTGGGGGCCTATTGCGAGCTGCTCATCCTGGCTTCTTGGGAGCAGTGTGGCCTAAGCAAGGGAGGCTGCCCAGGACCGGCACCTGTGGGGCGGGGCTGGTCGCAGGGTCTCGGTCCCTGAGGGCTGATTCCTGCTGAATGCTTCAATGGCCAAGGGTGGATCCCTCTCCTTCCAGCCTGAGGCTGTTTCAGGAAGAAACAGTCAGGCCTCGGCAGGTTTCCCTGCCCAAGGGGAGAGTCTGAGGAGGGGCTGACTCGGCAGGTGGAGCAGGGGGCCACTTTCATCGAGTTTGTGTTCAGAACTCACTCCAGGGTCCTTTTCTTTTGGGGCCAGGCAGGCAGCACCATGTGGGACATTATTAGCAAGGAGAGGAGGGGCCCAGGAGAGCTCACAGGGCGTTTTGGGAGCTCCGTAGATAGGCAGGTCCTGAGGACTTTTGGAAAGGATAGAACAAGGTCCCGGGCAGCTTTGTGGTGGTTGAGAGCGAGGGAGGAGGTGGCCTCCCTGAGCGTGGATGGCTGGATGCATGCCCCAGACCCAGGGGCAGAGGCTGAGAAGGGAAGTCGGGGGCCCAGGGACCACACTTGGCAGGGTGGAGGGGGCAGGGGGAGCCACTTGCTGGGGAAACTTCACCGGATGATCTGGGCTGAGGACGCGCGAGTGTGGAAGAAATGGTACCTCCCCCATGCCAGATGCTGCCCACCACCGGCACAGGGTCAGAGTTGGGGTCAGCGGGGCAGCCGTGTGCCCCCAGTGGGAGCTTGGAGGTCACGGAGGAAATGCGAGACCAGATGCAGGCAGGGGAGTCCTCCGGAGCCTGCAGGAGGGGGCCGCTGGCTCAGGGGCACCGGGAGACCCCCACATGGACAGGGTGGAAAGGGCTTTCTTCAAAGCCAGGATCTTGTCTCCATCACAGCGTCCCAGCAACGCATTGGGAGTGCTTGCTGCCAGGAGGCTCCCCGGTCCCGCAGCAGCCCCTCAGCGGCTGCCCTCCAAGGAAGGGGCGCACAGACACTCCAAGGCTCCACAGCGCGTGGGCCAGGGGCCGGATCTACCCCTGGGGCAGTGGGACTGAGCGTGAGCCCAGCGCAGCCCCTCTGACTGCGTCATTGTTAGGGGCCTTCTCGGAGCTAGCAGACCTAGAACCAGGCCTAGGGGGTGGGGGCGTGCCTGGATGTGCACTGGGGGGGTGTCTGAACCCTTAGTTAGGACTGCGGGCCCTCCTTTCCACTTCCTTCAGTTCCTGGGGTCTGGGGCATCCTAGCCATGCGTGGGGCCTCCCTGCTGGGATTGGAGACCCCCTGACAGCTGGGGCTGGTCCCAGCATCTTCGCTCTTCCCCCAGGAGGACTTGGACGCAGGGTCTTCTCTGCTCCCCGTCACACAGAGGGTGGCACACCCGATGGGAACTCTCATTTATCACCAAACCAAAAGATGGAGAAACTGACAGAGAAGGGCTGCAAGCAGCTACGGCAGGGCGGTGTGTGGAAGCAGATGGGATGGGCAGATGGAGGCGGGGGCCAGCATCGCTGCCTTCTTGCCCCTCCCAGAGGACCCCAGGTCCCCAGCTCGGGCGCCCCACCCAGACTGGTAACGCCTGCGTCTGCTGTTTGGCACCGGGAGATGAATCACTTGCTTTTCAAATTAGAATCTTCCTTGCTGTCAGAAATGTTTCTTCTCTACAAGGAAATGGAGGTGAAATTTTTATATGGGAAGGGTAGCTCCCTTGGCGAATTGCAGGGCAGCGGAGGGCGGGTTCGGGGAGCCGAGTGCAGCCCGAGGTGCAGCTTTCAGGCTGGGAGGAAGCAGCTGCTTCCGGCTCCTCGGGACACGAGACGGGGACAGCGTGTGCTCGGCGGGTGGGAGTGACGCTGCCCACCTGCGGGCGTCTCCTGGGGAACGGGGTATGTGGGCTGTGTGGCGGTACGGAGCCCAGCGCTGATAGGAGGCTGCGCTGTCAGGCTGCATTTGACCATTTATGGAACCAGGCCATGAGGAGGCCCTGAATTAGAAAGGCATCCAGACCCAGGCTGCAGCCTCAGGCCGGGCACTGTCCCCTGCATGGCTCCGGCGTCCCAGCTTGGTGTTATCAGAACACAGAGGTTGAGGCTATGGCTCCATCTGGGCTGTTAGCACAGAGAAAAAATGCCCAAATGACTTGGTAAAGGGCGGGCTTCCTGGCCCCATGGCTGCACGGGTGGGCTGGCTTCCTGTGTTTGCTGAGATTTCTTTGAGGCAGCCCCACGGTAGAGTCCACTCTGGGTCCCGGCCCTGCGCTGGGCGCTGTGCTGAGCGCCTCTGTGGCTGCCATCATCTGATTTTCAGCGCACTCACAGGCAGGCGCCAGGCTTCACTTTAAAGATGGGGAAGCTGAGTCTCAGGGAAGTGGGGTCTGTGCCAGGGTCTTAGCAGGACTTCTGGGGTTGCTAGGACCCCCACGGGGCTGGGCTGGGGGTCTTCATGCCAGGCCCAATCCCTTTCCCATAGTTCCCCCCGCCGGCACTACCCAACATGTGGTCTCCGGTCATCTCGTGCTGTCTCCACCCCTCCCTCCGCTTCTCTGCTGGAGTTGTCCCTGTCACCTTACCCCAGAGCCTTCTTTGTTCTTACAGTCCCAGGCGGAGGGTACCTCGGAGCACACTCTGCAGCCTCCGGCTCTCCCTCCTAAGTCCACCTGCCCGGCCGATTGGGCTGTGTGGTCACTGTCCTCAAGACCTTATGTGCCATGAGGGCTCAGAGCCCTGAGCCTCAGCACAGGAAGTGCCACCCAGGCAGCCAACACCTGCTCAGCGGGCGGATGGCCTTGCCGACTCGGCTTTGCTCCCGGGAGCCTCCTGGAGAAGAAGCCACAGGGAGACGGACAGCCCTGGGCGGCTCCAGCTTGCCAGCTCCACATCCAAGGTCCTCCTTCTGGGGTGGGGTTACAATCTGTTCAAAGCATATGCCCAGAATAACATTTTTGAAAGTCTTTAAAAATGGGGTAAAGCTGACGTACCACGAAAGACACAAATCTTATCTCGTGCTCAGGTCTTTGCGTGTCTGCGCCCGTGTAACCGCCGTGCGTGTCAGTGAGTCCCTCCAAGAGCACGCCAGAACCACAGAGAACCCCTGGTCCCCCCCAGGGACTCCCCCGAGTCATGACCCCCAGAGGTGACCTCTCCTGTGATCTCTGACTTCCCAGCCTGTGGGGGTCTTGGGGACTGTGTTCTCCCTGCTGTTAGAGTACACAGGCCCTTTCTTTTCATGGCTGTGCAGGGAGGGAGCGGGAGACACCACGGGTTGTTCCTTCTGCCGAGGGACACTGGTGACTTCAGGTTGTCTTTCTATGGCTTTCGTGCTGGCTCTGGTGGGACCTGCGCTCAGCAGCAGACACTGGCCCTGGGGGTTGTGTGAAGCTTTGCTGCTATTCCCCACAGGGTGGGGGGGGGCCAGTTACCCTCCCCCATAGCTGTGGGGACTCCCGGGACCCTTGTCGTCAGCCTTTGCCATCTCAGCTCACCTGGCGGGGGTAGAATAACGTTTTGCAGGAAAGTTACAGACTTCCTGTCAGCTCAACTCTGCAGAAGAGGAGTTTGGTGGGAAGTTTTTCCAGAGTCTTCCCTCGGCCTGGGGCACAATGTCACTGAAATGCTGGAGCAATCAGGGGCCAGCCCTCAAATGGAGTCCTCGCCTCCCCACCGAAAGGCCAGGCCCGTTCAGAGAAGACCCCGTGGACATGTGGGGCGTGCAGGCTAGGCGGGGTGGGGCTGAGTGGCCAGGTGTCAGGCAGGGCCTTTGGGAACAGAAGGTGGGTCCCTAGGGAAGTGGCGGTCACCGTCAGCCTGGCGAGCAGTGGCCCTTGTGGAAAGGGGGCTTCGGACGTGCTCGGGAGATGCAGAACCCCGTCTGTGGGAGAGCTCCTGAGAGTTAGGGGCCAGGCTCAGCTCCCAAGGCTGCCCTGACAGAGGCCACACGCTGGGGAGCTAAGATGCTGAGCCTCTCACAGCTCTAGAGACTGGAATTGGGGATCAGGGCATCCTCAGGCCCCTGCCCACTCTGGAGGCCCGAGGAGAGGGTCCTCCCTGCCTCTTCCAGCTCCTGGTGACCCCGGGCGTCCCTCTGCGTGCAGCTGTGTGGCTCCAGTCTCTGCCTCCATTGAAACGTGGCTGTCCTCCCTGCATCTGTGGGGCTGACTTCCCTCTTCTTACAAGGATGCCGTCATTGGATGAGGGCCCACCATACTCCAGTGTGAGCTCACCCTAACTTGATTACATCAGCAAAGACCCTATTTCCAAATAAGGTCACATTCTGAGGTTCTGAGTTGACATGAGTTTTTAGGGGGGCCTGCTCAGCCCAGGACAGTATGTGGTTTAAGAAAGGGATTTCCCCAGAATGATCTGCCTGCCGTCTGCATCCAGCCGCAGACCCTGGTTCCTGCCGTCTGGTCAGGGCTGGCCCTGGGTGAGCTGGAACCCTCTGTCCCTGCACCCCCAGCACTCCCACCCAAAATGAACTTTGGGGACAGACATCACAGCTTAGGGCACCCGTGGGGTCTTCAGAGGCTGAGCTGGTACCCAGCTCGTTTCCTCCCTCACAGATGCAGCCAGGCAGTGAGCAGCCGACGGGTGCCTCAGTGTCCCATGCAGCACAGCCACGCAGAGCAGGCGAGGGCCAGCCCCCAGGAAGCCGCTTGTGCCTGCCCGCAGTGGGACAAACCTCGGCACTGAGTGTGTCCACAGATGCCAACGCCCCTCAGACGGAGTGAGTTGATGACTGTTAAATGCAACAATATAAATGGCCTTGTATTTTGTATATCTTTCCTTTTTTGTTTTATTTTTCTAGCTGATCTTTTTTACTCTATTTTGCAAAAGTTAGCAGTCTGCAGGGTGCTTCCCCCTGGCTGGCTGGAGAAGCCCCATGTGCCGAGCCTGGTCCGAGGTCCTCTGAGCCCCCACGTCGCCTCGCTAAGTTGCTGTGCCCTGACCCCAGTGTGGGAGGGGCCATCAGAGCACATGTGCCTTCTACTTGGTGAGGGCGGCATTATCTTGGGGATGCAACTGCAATAATCAAGAAACTTAGAAATATTTCGGATGAATTAACTGAGAACGCAGTGCACTCACTGGCATGGCCACCTGCCCTCACCTGGGGCGTGCCTCCGGCCCTGGCACTGCTCTGCCCCACCCAGTTGGTGGAATCATGGAAGCAGAAGAGGGGTGGTCCCTGACTCGTGTTTGTGCTGTGGAGACGCCCGCAAAGGCCAGGACACTTGCATAGAATGCTCCCGGCACTCTCCCGTCTCCAGGGCTGTGTGTAAGAGTCAGTGACAGAACTGTACGCAGCGTGCAAGAGACAACTGCCATCACTGCCACCTTGAAGGGCAGCCTGGGCACATACTGTCGAGGGACAAGGAACTTGCTGACAGCAGAAGGCTTCATGCCACATGCTTCGGTCTGTATACAGTCCAAATCCGGCAAAGTGGCACGCAACACTGTCCAGGGGTTCACTGCACATGGCAAAGCTGTCCTAGAGGGTAAGGATGACAAATGCCTGTGCAGGAGGGAGGTCGCCTCTGGGAACCCTGGGGGAAGCAGGAGGGATGTGTTCCAGCTTTCCTGGGTGCCTGTCTGGCCTCTCTCTGCCCAGAGCCCGCCCCCACAGCAGCAGACACTGGACGGGGTCCCAGGCCAAGGAGCACTCCACTCAGTAGGGTGTGGGGGCTTCCCTCCTTTCAGGAGCTCATAGAGTGAGGGGGCCCAGGGATCAGCATGCAGCTTTCACCCCCAGCCCCATCTGGGACCAGCGTGCACTTTCATCCCCAGCCGCCGTCTCTGCTTCTGGCCCTGCCGGGACTTGGGGCTGCCTGCGCATTAAATGGCCCAGGTCTGTGTCCTGGTTACTCAAGCCTGAGAGAGCTGCCACCCTTGTAGGTCATGGCTGCAGGAAATCAGGCTGTCCCCCAGGTCTAGGTGGGTCTGCCAAAATGCCCCGAGACGTGAGCAGGGCCGTGAGGTCAGCCCTGGGTGGCGCCGCTCCTCCTGCTCGTGTGCCCAGATCAATCGGCTGCCCCCGCTGGAAGGGGACGCTGTCCCTGCTGGGGTCCGGAGCCCACTTCGGGCTCCCTCTCTAACCAACAGTGGCTCCCTGGAGACTCTACATGCCCCACCCTTGCCCTCTGCTCCACTGCTGGGACCACCTTTGCTCTCAAGGACTGTGGACACCGGTGAAGAGGGGCACCCGGTCGATGCCAGCTGGACTCCGTCCACCCCTCGAGAGCCAGGGCGTTGGGCTCACTGTCTTCCCCAGAGGAAGCCTCGCTGGGGCCACGGGAGGCTCGGGCCTCTGTTCCTCCGGCACATTCTGGCACGGTGGCAGGGGAGGCTCCTTAGGAGGATGAGGGGACGGAGAAGGCCCCAGGGGTCTCCTGCAGGCAGCAGTGTTTGCTCTGCAGGGCCTGGAGGTTCAGGCAGGGAGGTGGAGGCGACTACATGTGGACGCAGGTTAAAGGACAAGGATTCTGAACATGCCGGGGCTGGGTCCCGGCACCATCAGAGCCAAGTCACCGGCTCCCTCGGGGAGGAGAGAGCTGTGAGGGCTGAGTCACCGGTGGGCTGGAGTGGAGGGGAGGATAGGGCGACAGGTGAGGACACTTCAGGCCGGGCAGGCTTCCAGCGTGCGGAAGGGGCCGGTGGGTCAGATGGGGGGTAGGGTGGAGGCACTGGCTGCGTGGCTTCAGCAGGCATCACCCTGGAATGTGCTGGAATAACAAGCAGAGGCGGCGTGGAGCAGGATGGAGGGCAGAAGTGCAGAGATAGGAGTGTGTGATCCTGGGTGGAGGCGCTGACGCCTGGCCGGCGGAGACGACACTTCTGGAGCCTCGCTGAGGCTGGATCCCAGGCTCAAGGGGCGGGCCCACCACGGGGGACCCCAGGTCACAACAAGGGGCAGCTCAGAGCAGGGTGGGGGCCCCCAGGCCACCCAGGAGTGGAAGTGGCTCGTGATGCTGTGGGTGCTGCGCTGTGAGGGGCTCCTGGTCCTGCCGGCCTCCCAGCTACACGTGGCCCACTCGCCTCCACAGCCGCCAAGCCTCCCTTGGGGCTCCTGCTCTCGGGGCTGGGCTGGAGGGGCCTGGGAGTCCCAGCGGGCGAGAAAGCCGGGCCCAGGGGAGAGCAGCATGCTGGGTCAGGAGACCGGTCGGGGGCTCGGCCGGGCCTGGAGTCCAGCGGGCAGGGGCTGGCAGGGAGTGGGCAGGGTGCCCGCCACCCCGAGGGCCACCAGGGAAGACCATCTGGATTGGGTTTGCGGTGGAGGCTCGCCAGCAGTGTTTTGACTCCAGGCAGGTTTCAGAGTGTGAACGGCCCCCGTGTCATCTGCTGGGTCCCTCTGCCAGAGGGTTTCTGAAAGACAGATGGCCACACGCGGAAGCTGTCGGCGGCGTGTGGGCCCAGCGATGACGGGGGTGCGAATCCTGCTCTTCCTCCCTCGGCAGCCAGCGGTCTCTCAGTCCTCTCCCGTGTTCTCACTGTACCCTAGAAAGCAAAGCCCGAGCTCCTCAGCATGCTGTGGGGGCGAGTGGGCAGAGCCAGGCGTCCTGCGGGCACACATGGCTGTCCCTGTGCCTCCATGAGCGGGGAGGGGCGCTGGCGGGAGCCCCCACACAGGCAGCCTCCCCACCTGGGACCCCACACAGGCGGCCTCCCCACCTGGGACCCCACCCAGGCCTCCTGACCTCATGGGGCTGGGCTTGGCTACAGGAGGGCGCTTTGCGTGGAACCTGAACCTGGCCTGGCTTTGCCTCCGTGGTTTTCGGCACAGGGGGAGGGGCCGGCTGAATTCCTCCGCAGGATCCAAGGGGCTGTGCAGACACGGGCCGTGACTGCTGGGTCCTCCGTGGAGAAAATCAATACCAAGTTGGAGTGAGTCCCCAGGGTTCATGTATCACTCTGCACCCGGAAGGAACTTTCTGGAAATGCAATACATCCCTGCAAAGTGGGACTCAGGGCTCTTTCCTGTCACTGTGCAGAAGGCAAGGTCTCAAAGGGAGAAGATCGGAAGGCTGGGAGCCCGGGAGCCCGCCTGGGAGCCTGCCTGGGCCTGGGTCTCCCCTCAGGGCTGAGGAGCCCCGGGCCCAGCGCCCACGGTCGCTGTAGCCAAGCTCACAGGCCCCACCTCCTGCCTGGCCATGCTTTTGCCCACGTGGGCTGCAGCCAGGGCCTGGTCGCCACCCTCCCCAATGTGGCCCTGAGGCCAGTCCTGTGCTGGCCTGTATTGACACGCCGGCTCACTCAAATCGATTCTTGTCAAAGCCGTCGTGGAAAGAACAGCTTTCAAAATAGAGCCCAAGAAGACGTGGGCTTCCACTGTGAGAGCCTGGGTGCTGGCGGGCTGCCCAGGGTGCCTCCTCTCTCTCCAGCCGGGCGTGGAGCTCCACGAGCAGCTCCTGGCTGTTGCAGGGCTGTGAGATGTTCTCGTTTGTTCAGCCGGAAGGTCTAGAGAAAGGGGCTGAGGGGGACGTCTGAGCACCCAGCCTTGAGGAGGAGGCCAGGACTGAGGCCTGGGTTCATTCCTAATGTGTCCCGAGGACAAGCACATGGAACGGGCTGTGTTCTGGCTGCAGACCGGCCTGGGAGCGCCCTCGCTGGCCTGGGAACGGGCAGGCTGCGGGGCAGAGGGCAATGGACCTTCTGCCTAGGTGCGAGGGGCTGGTGTGCAGCTCCGCGCCCCGGGGACCCCATCCCAGCCCCTCAGCCAGCCCCTCTGCAGTGGCAGTTTTCTCTTCCTGCCAAGACCTTGGACGGAGTCTGCACCCATCCCTGCACGTGGCAGAGACAAAACCCACAATCAGATACACAGGAAGGGCCGGGGTCCTGCCACCTGCACGTTAGACCCTGAGGGTGACGTTTGCTCTTTGATCCTCTGGTCCTTTGCGCTCCGGGGGCCTCTGCCTGGCATGGAAATGTTGATTCTTCCCTGTCTGCCTAAGACAGTGTGATTTTCAGACTAGCAGAGGAGGAAATGTCCGGCGGCTGTCCTGTGGGGGTCCACCCACCCTCGAGACTGTCATGGGCCGCGTGTCTCCCCCGGAGGCTGTCCTATCCTATCGGGCTCTACCCACCCTCAATACTGTTATGAGCCACGTGTCTCCCCCCTGGGCGGCTGTCCTATCCTATGGGGGTCCACCCACCCTCGATACTGTTAGGGGCCACGTGTCTCCCCACTGGGCGGCTGTCCTATCCTATGAGGGCCCACCCACCCTTGATACTGTTAGGGGCCGTGTGTCTCCCCCAGATCTGTATGCTGCAGCCCTAAGCCCCAATGCCTCCGCAAGGGACCTTACTTGGAGATGGGGTCCTCACAGAGGTGGTTAAGGTAACATGAGGCTGGTGGGGTGGCCCTGGCCCAATCTGCCTGGTGTCCTTATACGGAGAGGAGATGAGGACACAGACCCACACAGAGGGATGGCCTTGTGAGGACAGTAGCAGGAGACAGAGCCAAGGAGAGAGGCCTCAGGAGCCAGCGGAGCCGCACCCTGACCCTGGATTCCACCTCCTGAATGGTGAGAGAGCCATTCAGGCTCTCTCTGTTGAAGCCCCCAGGCTGTGGGACTTGTTACAGTGACCCGGGAACTCACACGATAGTCACAGCACATTACAGCTGACAAAGTGAGCTCCTTCCGTGGAGACGCTCCTCCCAGCATTCCGGTGAGGTGGGGGCTGGCACGTCACCCCCACTCTGGATGAAGAGGCCGCATCAGGCGGGATGGGCTTGGCTACGCTGCAGTCACAAACAGCCCCACAGCTCACCATGGGCTACAGCACAAGTTCATTGCCTGCACTTCGGGGTGGGCACCCACTTGCCCCTGTTCCAGCCGCTGTGCTTGGCGTGGCTCCCTCCTCACCAGGACCTGTGACTGTGACGCATCAGAGGAGGAGGTGCTAGGTGGAGACAACGTGGAGACTGAGGGTGAGACTGGAGGAGGGGAAGCCCCCGTTTCTTATTGAGAGCCCTACGGGGTCAGGCCAAGGAGCGCAGGTGGCTGTGCGGGAAGGAGCTGCACTCTGCTAGGTGTGGGGGCTTCCCACCTGCGCTCCCAGGTGAGCCGTGGCCATGCCACCAGGCCCCTCAACCCTGTGCCTGCCATGCGGCCCTCTCGAAGGACCTCTGGATATGTCTGGGGAGTCCTGCTCAGCCTGGCCCCAGTGGAGTCTCTGCAGCAAATAAGCACACAGCAGCAGCAGTCACTGCACCTGTGGCCCTGAGAGGCTGTGAGCACACAACATCCTGGCTGGAAAGAGGGGAGGCCTGGGGTCCGGGCAGCTTGCGGGGCCAGCTGTGCACCCAGTGACATCCTCATCACCACCCACGCCGAGCACAGCAGAGACCCCGAGCCGAGGGCAGAAGGAGCACACGGTCACAGGAAACCTTTCCTTCCAGTTCTCTGTGCCTGCACCCAGCACTTCGTGTCTAGGGATGAATTTAATCTGCACGGTGACCTCTGAGGTGGGCACTGCCACTGTCCCAGCTCTATAGACACGGAGTGTGGCGGGCAACATAGGAAACAGCAAGCCTTTGAGCGGAGGGGGGTCTGGCTGTGGCTTCCCCTCTTTGTTGAATGGTGTCCCCACAGAAAGATCTGTCTGTGTCCCAGAACCTGTAAAGATGACCTTATTTGAAAAAAGGGTCTTTGCAGATATAATCAGGTCAAGACCTGGCAGCGTGATCGTCCTGGGCTGTCAGGCTGGACCACAGCGCCTGGTGTGAAGGACAAGCGCCTTCATGAAGAGAAGAGAAAACCCAGGGAGAGCCACATGGAGAGGGGCCGAGGCCGTGGGAGGGCCAGGCAGGGACTGGAGGGAGGCAGCCACAAGCCAAGGAACGCCTGGGCCACCAGAAGCTGCCAGAGACAAGGAAGATCCCCCTCTAGCGCCTCTGGAGGGAGTGCAGCCCTGCCCACAGCTTAATTTGGGGCTTCTGGTCCCCAGAGCTGTAAGGGAATCAGTATCTGTTGTTGAGGCCACCTGGCTTGTTGCAAGAGCCCCAGGACACGCGCCCACTTGGCCACGTTGCCCAGGCGGTTGTGGTCGAGTGCCCAGGGTTCCGGCCCCAGCGCCTGCACTCCTGACCACACAGGAGGTTGACGCCTGCCGGGAAGTCTGCTCACGGCACCCTCTCTCTTTCCGGATTCCAGTGCTTCCTGCGGTGCTCTGTGCAAAGGAGTGCTGCCGGCTCCCATCCCCAGCCTCTCAGGGCTGGGAGGTGACATCCAGCAGCAAGCAGGGGCCCCGCTGTCTGCGACAGCGTGGCTGAGAGTTGGTGCCGGCCAGGTGTGTTGGCTCATGCCTGTAATCCCAGCGCTTTGGGAGGCTAAGGTGGGAGGATGGCTTGAACCCAGGAGTTCAAGGCTACAATGAGCTATGCTTGCACCACTGCACTCCAGCCTGGGCGAATGTGAGACCGTTTCTATAAAATACAATAGAGAGACGGCGAGTCGGTGCCACACGATTGGCCCTTGGTGTGTTTTCCCTGCCCATCAGAGCTACCCCAAGGAACTGAGTGAGCAAATGTGTGCCTGTCTGCTCACCTGCTTAAGATGCAAAGTGTCGAAAGCAGGGCCCCACCCAGCATCTTCCCCTCCCGCAGGTGCCTGGCACGCTGGGCTCCTGCCGCCACAAACCGACGTGACTTGGTGAACGTAAGTGAGCACTGGCTGACCGGATCATGTTTAAAGGAATCCTTTAGGGGAACCACTCTGCAAAGAAAGTAACCCTCAGTAACTCGCTTTTAGTTATATGTGGACTTCACCTTATCCGGCTTCCATAAGGTGGATTTGCAGAAAGCCGGGGCGGTGGCGCGGCGGGAGGCGTGGGAGCTGGTGGGATTCTCCGCAGGTGCTGCTGGGCCGGGCAGTGGCTCCGGTGGGGGGCGCTGTGTCTCCAGGCCCTGACCTGGCTCCCGCTGGGCCGGCTGTGGCAGGGAAGAGCCATTTTTCATGGCAGGGGGGTGGCTTCACACCGGCCCAAGTGCCAGTATGTTCCACAGTTCTTTTTGCTGACGGAATCAGCCATCAGCTCAGCCCAGGTGACTTCCAACCTAATCTAAACAAGGTGGGGTCGGTGGACTCAGCTCTCACAAAGAAAGACACGGTGACGTCGGGCGTGGCCACGTGAGGCAGGGGTGGGGAGAGGCTGACAGCCTCTGCCTCTCCCTCCACCGGCACCGCCCGCCCCAAGCTCACGTGGCCCTTGCGGACGTCATTCCTTCACTGGGTCGTGCCAAGCAGCAGGGGTGCGGCTGTCCCAGTCCTCACGCCCTGCCCTCCTCGGGCAGCCTGGGTGTCCGCTCCTGCACTCAGAGCACTCCCCGCCAGGCACCCCCCGCCAGGCACCCCCCATCCACACCCAAAGGCAGGCCCAGGCACATGGCTTGGGTGACAGAGTCTGTTTGGGGCGATGCCTGCAAGCCCTGTGGGAAATCGGGGTGGAGGGAGCGGGCGGGGCCGAGCGGCCGCGGGAACGAGCAGTGCCCTGCCTCCAAGGGAGCCCCGGGTCCTCTCCCCACTGGCTGGCCCTGTCGTGGACATGAGCTCTCAGGTTTCTGACGGGCTGAGCGTAGTGGCTGAGGGCTCCCTCAGGCAGGGGCAGGTGGGCTTGGGCCAAAGAGAAACCTCTTCCCCGATAGGGGACACAGCAGACAGCCACCAGGAGCCGGAGTGGAGGGGCCAGGCTGTGCTCAGCCTCACGACACACTGGCGTTCGCTCAAGCTCATGGCTGGCGTTTAGGAGGGCACCGCGAGCACCTACTGAGCTGGGATGAGGTCGGAGGCTGCCCCTGCCCAGTGAGATGAATGCCCCGGGGCCATGTGGGCTCTTGGCCGGGTGGTGCCAGGATGTGCCTGGATTTCAGAGTAGGTGGTCAGGGGTGGCCACCTGCTGGGAGTCTGGACCGTGGAGCCGGGGCGACTGGGCTTCAGCTTCAGTGGCTGCACAACATCCAAAAGCAGGGGGCCCTTGAGGACCCAGCCCTGCTCTCCGGGCAGTGGGCACTTGGCCCCAGCGCCCCCCCTTTCTCGGTGCGAGGCCGAGCATCTCCCAAGTCTGGTGCCCACCCGGCTGCCTTGGCCTCTGCCCACTCCAAGCCAGCTCTTACTCCGCCACAGGCCCGGCCCCTCTCACTTCCAGCCTGGGCCCCACTGTCACTTCCCATCATCTCCCTCCTGGGTGACAGCCTTGGGAAGGGTCTCTGGCCTAGACTCTGATCCCAGGACACGGCCCTTCCTGCTCCTTGGTGGCCTTCCTGGGCCTCCAAGTCCGCGACCATACCCATGACCTGCTGCCCGCTGCTGGTGGGCCTCAGATTTCCCGGAAAGAGGGAAGAGGCTCAGACCAGCCCATAGCAGCTTTCCAGGTGAGGCCGTGATCATGAGCAGTCCAGGGTCCGCTGCCTGGTGGGGGCGGGACCGCAGGCTGGGCAGGGACAGCAGGCAGGGGTCCCTCCCCCCACACAGCCCCCCCTCCTGTGCGGGGCTCTGGGGTCCTGCCTTACAGGGGTCCTGTGTCACCTCAGTGGGGAGCAGGAGATGGGCCCGGGGCTCGGGGCTGCCATCTCCACTGCATGGTCTGGGGCTGAGCTGTCGTGGAGCAACTCGGGCCACATGTTTGTAATTTGGGGACAATTCTGTCTTCCTGTAATTTTATTGTATTTAGTAAATGCGGTTTAATTTTCTTCCTGTATAGACTTCTCAAATAACTACAAATCAAAAAAGAGCTTGCAGTCCCTTCAGGGGCAACCGTGGCCTCCAAGGACCCAACAGCAGGCCCGTGGCACACACTCATGCCCGCTCCCACTCCCAGACACTTCACGCCTGCACTCACGCCTCACAGCCACACACACGGGCACACCCACAGTGGGCACGCTCACACCCCAGTCACGCACACACACACATCCACACACCTCCCTCTGCTGCTTCCTCCCTCAAGTGCCCGCACCCCCATGCGTCCCCGTACAGTCCCAGTCAGGGCCGCTCCCCTGCACCCCCCGTCATTTCCCACTTCCGTTCCCAGCACCGGCATTCGGCATTTGCCGCGGGCCGAGGGCTGGTGCGACAGAAGCCCTGCCAGCGCCACGAGCCGACGCCCCTGTAAAAGCGGCTGTTCCGCGCACACAGGAGCCGCCTCTGGCCTGCCAGACACGTCCTGCCCGGAGGACCACAGACCCGAGGCCGGCTAGGACCAGAGGACCGCGGCTCACTGGCCATCAGCAGGCTCACAGGGTCCCCTCGCAGCACCCAGGGGGCTGGGGCCCGGCCGACCACTGAGAGAACTCGCCGTGCATCCCCTGCCGGCCTCCCTGCTCAGGGGCAGCTGGGACGTGGGCAGCCGCCTTTCAGACTCTAGCCAGGGTCCCGGATGTGGGGAAGGCCACCCATCAGGCGAGTGTATGTGAGACGTGGGGACAACGGGGGCACCCCACGGAGACACCAGCTTGTCCTGCCGCGTTCTCCATATGCTGGAGTGGGGGTGGCTGCAGGCGCAGCTGCTTCCCCTGGCTCATCTGGCTTTCAGGTGGTCACGGCTGTGCGGGTCTGTTCCCCAGCTCCCGGGGGTGCAAGGCAGTGGCAACGCAGCGGCCCTGGTGGCTTTATGCTCCCGGCACGGCTCCGGGGGGGCTGCCGTGGTGACAGTGCCTGGTGGGGCGGCACTCTGTGCCTGAGTCTCCCAGGAGGCCCGTCTGGAGTCTGCAGCCCATCCTGGGTCCTGTGATACCCCTTCCCTGTGTTCAATCCCTTCCTGCTCAGAGTCCTTGGGGCCACTTTTCCCTGCTTGGACCCATCTGTCATGAACCCTTGAGTGGGTGGTGCTGCTGAGGGCTGGTGCCTGGAGGCACCGGGCCAGCTGGAGCTGGGAGGGTGGGCAGAGGAAACGCCACATGAAGAAGCTGCAGGGTTCTCCATTCTGGCCACACAAAGTGCCCGCAGTGGATAATGCTTCCAGGGGAGTGGGGGTGACTGGAGGGTTGGAGGGGTATCTGGACAGCTCCCTGGGGGCAGTTCCCTTGTGAGCGTTTGTGGGGGTGAAAATCCCTGTCACGTCTCCTTCCAGAATGTCCATTCTACTTCAATGCCAAGTTTAAGTACATGGTGCCTAACCCACGCCCTCTGTGTGCAACTGGGTGAGGTCATCTACCCGCTCCTCCAGGTCACAACAAATCCATCCCTCCCCAGCCTGTTTCCAACTTGACTGAAACACCCCTAAATGCTCCACAAAGTTCCTGGGCAGCCCTGGGCTCCAAGAGGCTTGGCCAGGGGTGAGCTTAAAGGAGAGCACACATGTGCACACACACGGACCCACCCACAGAGACACGTGCATACGCATGGATCCACACACACAAACACATGTACACACAAACTCGCATACACAAACACAAGCACTCACAAAATCACACACATGCACACAGTAACTCATACACACGAGTACATGCCTGCATTCACCTGACAACACAAACACACATGCATACGGCAAACCCACATGCACACACCTACGCATGCCCACGTGCACAAAGCAAATATCTGCACATAACCAAATCCATAGGCGTGCACAAGAAAACATATACACAGATACACACACTTGCGTGTAGTGCACACAAGCATACACAAACACGCACACACGCAAGCACAGATGCAGGCACACACGGAGAGATTTTGGTTCTTTGCTCGTGAATCATTTGTTCACTAAATCACCCATCAGCTTCTTTGACAAGGGCGTCATGTGAGCCTCCTGCATGCCAGGGTGAGTTCTGAGTGTTGAAGCTCCCACAGGAAATGGCACCGTCCCGGGAGCAACAGTCTTGAAGACTGTGGATGGCTTCCTTGTCTTGCCCTGGCCAGAGGCGGGGCCCTGGGTTAGCACAAGGCTTTCTCAGATGAAGTTCCAAAGTTTCCCCATAAAAGGAGTCACTCCAAGCTAGCGTCGCCCACGACATCCTTCCAGGCCTGGCTCCCCTGGGCCACGCGGAGTGGAGGGGGCAGGCGGGTCTGTGCAGAGGAAGGGGCACCCTCCCCGTGCAGGGAAGGTGCTCTGCTCTTCCCACCCCCGAATCCAGCCCCCACCCCACTCCAAGGCACCCAGCTCTGCCCCGCCGCCCTCCTGTTCATCCTTTCGCACTTTTGGGGGCTTGGTGGCTTTAGCATGGCCTGTCCCCTCCAGGGACCCACCCACCTGTATGACAGGGTTTACTTCAGCCTCATCTGGGAAGGGAGCAGCCCTCGGGAGGCCCCTCAAGTACACAGGAGATGAAGAAGAGAGAAACTGAGGCTGAGCTGCTCCGATTGGCCCAAGGGTCCTGAGTTGGAAGATGACAAAGAAACCCCTCCTTAGAGTCTGGACTCTGCTTCCCCAGTCCATGACCATGTGGCTCAGGAGCTGGGGTAGGGGGCACCCAGGAGGATGGGGACCCTCACCTTCTGGGGACTGAGGGCCAAGAAGCCCACTGAGCACTCAGGGTGTCCCGCCCTGCCCTGGAGAGAGGGCGGCTGGAACCTGCACCCTGGGTTAGGGGGTGAGGCCGGGGAGCCAGGCAAGTACCAGGCCAGCTTCTGCCAGACCGCCCTGTGGGCCATACCTGTCTCTGACGTCACTCAGGCCTGTGAGCCTCTCCCTGTGCTTCCTCTGCTAGCACATGTGTGAGCGTGTACATCACACACAGATGCACACGTGTGCACAGAGATGTATGCACATAGAGGGATGTGCACACACACACACTCACACACCATTGTGTGTTACAACGCCCTCTTAAACCTTGAAACATTTGGGAAGATGCTTGACTTGTTTGGTTGCCCCTTTCTAATTCACCCATCTCCCAACTGTTCACGCCCTTGTCAACCCCCCAACCCCAGACCCTCCAAGTCACCTCCCAGGTGCTGCTGTCAGCCCCGACACCTCCTTCCTGGGCAGGGGTTGTGAGGGGACGCCTCCTTCCAGGACAGGGGGCACCGTCTGGGCAGTAACGTGGGCCACAGTTGCCCCGTGACCCTCCCTACACTTTGTTGCTCTCCCAGCCACAGGCCTGGCCCTGACGCACAGCAGCTTCTCCGGCCAGCTGTGCAAAAAGGAACGCGTCCTCCCTGGGCCCACGGCTGGGTGGCCACGTAGCAAGGGCTCTTCCACTGCTCAGTGCTGTTACCCTGGGATCTAAACAGGGCTTGGGGCCTGACGTGAAAAGGGAGAAGCAGTGTTACCAGGGACATCCTCCTGGGGGTTTTAGAATCTCCCCCGTGGAGGGGGAGGAGAAGAGGAAGGAGGGAGAACTGCCGGCCCGGCCCCATGAGTGGAGGGTGCACCAAGTCACTGACCTCTGGTCCCTGCCCACCTGGGAGCTCCTACCTCGCAGGCAGTGCCAGTCTCTGGCAGGGGTCAGGCCACCTGTTCTATTTGCCTTTAGTTCATAGCCTGATCAAAAGGCTAATGAGTTCAAAGTCACATTCCTTATCTCATTTTTGAGTGAGGACTCAAAACCTGCACCTGGACCAGTGACCCTGGGCATTTTGTCCCATCATTGCACAACCACGGTAGCTTTTATCTCCCTGCCGGCCTTTTATTAGGTGCAGCCACGGGTTCTTTGCTTTCTCATTCACCGCTGACGTCTGTACTAATGACGACACGCTTTCGAATGCCAATTCACTGACTGAAGTACTAGCCACAGGTTTGTTTTTTTGTTCACGCCCAGAGAATGTGTCTTGGCAATATGCTCCTGTTGGACGTTATTATGCAGTGATGCTATATGGCAAATGTGCCCCAGGAATGCCACACTCACAAGGCAGCGTTTGGCCTCCTGTAAAAAAAACCCACAGAGACAAATAACTAAGAAAAAACCATGGAAGAAAGAGGTAAAGGATTCATGCCTTTAATATAAAAAGAGTTCTCAGAATAAATAAGCATTTCCTTACTAGGGGCCCATCTTTTGATTTTGCCCGTGCAAAGGAATCTGTGGCTCCTTCCTTTGTAATAGCCCCCAGTAAACCACCCCCTCCTGCCCTTAGTCCAGGTGATTTGGGTGTGCTGACCTAAATTCTTCACCTCCAGAGATTAAACATGACATAAACCTGGCCAATGAAGGGCTTGCCTGGGACCGTGGCTGGGACTATCAGGGAAAAGATATGCTTTCTCTGTAGACGGTGAACTAGTAGGATGTTAGCTACCTGTCTTAGTCTGCTTTGTGCAGCTATAACAAAATATCAAGTCTGGGTAATCTATAATGAACAGAGATGTCCTGGGGAGGCTGGGAAGTCCAAGAGCATGGCACTGGCATCTAGTTAGGGCCTTCTTGCTGCGGCATCCCAAGGTGGAAGGCAGAAGGGCAAGAGTGAGAAAGTGAGAGCACACACACACACACACACACACACACACACACACACACACACACAAAGAGAGGGGGAGAGAGAGAGAGAGAGCGCGCAAGATGGGGCCAAACTTGTCCTTTTATAAGGAACGCACTCTTGAGATAATGGTATTAATCCACTTGTGAGGGTCGTACCCCTATGACCCAAGCACCTCCCATTAGGCCCCACCTCCCACCATTGCCATGATGGGGATCAAGCTTCTGACACATGAACTTTGGGGGGCACTTTCAAAGCATAGCACCATCTTTGCTACAAACTGGAATGAGCCTGCCTGAGAACAAAGCCAAGGCAGGGAAGTAGAACTGAGGGATGCTGCTGAAAAAAGGGAATAGAACAGATAAACATTGTGTGAGCCTGGGTCGAGCTCAACCTGAAGCCTGTAGTATCCTGGGCCCTTTAGTTATGTTAACCACCAACTCTCCTTTTAGCTTGAACCAGTTTCAGTTGCATTTCTGCCTCTCACAATAAAGGGAGCCTTGACTGAGACCCACTAATAGAAAATGGAGCAGAAAATAAGAACTGACACTCAAACACAAATGGCCAATGAACATGAAGAGAAGAATCACTTTCCATAAGGAAATCCAAGAAGTGCCCATTACAATAAATGCATGCTATTACGGATTGAACTGTGTCCCCCTACTGAAAGGTATGTTAAGTCCTCACCTCCTGTACCTAAGAACATGGCCTTATTTGGAAATAGGGTGGTTGCAGATTAACTAGTTAGAGTGAGACCATACTGGAGTAGGCTGGGTCCTAAATACAGAATGCCTGGTGTCCTTATAAGAAGAGAGGGAGGCCCCAGGAAAAGCCGGCCCATCTGAAGATGGTGGCGGAGACTGGATGAGGGATCTGTAAGCCAACGACTGACAGGTGTCCCTGAGAACCTCCAGAAGCTGGAAGAGGCATGAAAGGAATCTCGCCAGGAGGCTGAAGAGGGAACATGGCCTTGCCCACACAGATTTCAGACATCTGGCTCCAGAACTGTGGGAGGACACATTTCTGTTGTTTAGAACTGCTTGTTTTTTATACTTTGTTATGGCTGCCCTAGGAAACTAATACAGATATTATTTTCCACTTCTGAACTTAGCAAAATATTTTTAAAATGAAAATTCTTAAATGTTGGCACAGTTTAAGGTCAGGGGTGCCCCAGCAGTTTGGCAACATATATCAAAGGCTTTAAGACACTTTATCCTCTTTCACTTGGTAATTCCATTTTTAAGCCTTTATCCTAGGGAAAAATTTCACATAGGAATTAAGAGTTTTGGGAAAGATGCTCACAATAACACTGTTTATAGTAACGTGTAGAAACAATAATGTCTACAAATAGAAATGTTAAATAAATGGGAATGTTACATGTTAAACATGAGATATTAGATATTAAGAATAATGTATTTAAATTATATATGATACATGGAATTCTCTTTCTACAAATAGAAAGGCTATAAGAGTGTTCATATGGGGTACAATCCAAATTTATTTTTTAAAAATTTACATCTATTCAACTAGAAAAAAATGCACCAAAATACTGAGTGATGATATCTGAGTGGTAGAATTATGAATTATTTCTTATATGTTAGTATTATTATTTTCATATATATTTTTTATAATAATCATATATTCAATTTTATCATCAAGAAAAAAGTTTTAAAATTCCAAATCCTTTCATGTGCACTGTTTTAAACTCAGGTAGAAGAAAAAAAGTCACTGAAAATCCAAGATGTAATAAACAGGCCCAACAAAGGCCAACAAACTTAGTATATATTTGCTGTAATAAAATATTAACCCACTTGTGAGGGTCGTGCCCCTGCGGTCCAAACACCTCCCATGAGACCGCATCTCCCAACACGGCCATGTTGGGGATCAAGCTTCCGACACATGAACTTTGGGGAACACTTTCAAACCACAGTACCATCTTTGCTACAAACTGGAATTTTTAAAAATATATATTTATAAAATATAAATTTGGTAGCACAGATTCAATTATGGGACATGGCCGGGAGCAGTTGCTCATGCCTGTTTCCCAGCACTTTAGGAGGCCGAGACGAGTGGATCACCTGAGGTCAGGAGTTTGAGACCAGCCTGGCCACAATGGGGAAACCCCGTCTCTACTAAAAATACAAAAATTTGCCAGGCATGGTGGCGCGCCTGTAATCCCAGCACTTTGGGAGGCCGAGGCAGGAGAATCGCTTGAACTCGGGAGGTAGAGGTTGCAGTGAGCCAAGATCGTGCCACTGCATTCCAGCCTGGGCAACAAGGGCGAAACTCCATCTCAAAAAAAAAAAAAAAGCCAAAAATATCCCCAGAAAACAATTATGGGACACACTGTTTCTAAGTGACATCTAGGGGCAAAGCAAACACAGCTGCTTTCTAAAGCCCTCCAGGGCGTGGCGCAGCCACGGAGCTTGCCCCCACCGGGGGTGGCTGGGCATGGCTCAGGAGCACCTGTGCTCCTGGTTCTGGGCCCTTCCAGTGGCTGCCTGAAGTGCCAGGGTGTCAGGGCAGCAGCAGGACCCGTCCACCGGGGTGGGGCAGGGGAGAGCATAGTTCCCACTGGGGAAGCATGTCGGGTTCAGGGGAGACGCTCCGAATGGAGAGAAGGAGGTTTTGGGGATGAGAAAGCTGAGGTGTCTCTTGAGAACTCGGAGCTCCTGGGAGCACCCGGTGTAGTCCTCGCAGATGTGGAGCCCAGGCCAGGCTGCAGGTGGGCTGCCAAGGCCCACCCCACTGCCAGCCTCTTGTGCCAGGCCTCCCTCCGTGCCAGAGGGGGCTCAGGTTTCTAAGGACGGGGCAGGGAGCTACTGGGAGGTCCTGTGGCCCTTTTGGTTCTTGCTGAACTATGGGACCTGGCTTAACATTTTTTTATTGCAGTAAAATACACATAACATAAAATTTACTATTTTAACCATCTGAAAGCACACAGTTTGGTGACGTTAAGTTCATTGACACTGCTGTGTAACCATCACCACCATCCACCTCCAAACTTTTCCCTCTTCCCAAACTGAAACTCTGAACCCATTAAACACTCACTCCCCCAGCCCCAGCACCTCCCACTCTACTTTCTGCCTCTGTGGATTTGAGTACTCCAGGGACCTTGTGCACGTGGAACCATACGGCATTTGTCCTCTTGGGACCAGCTTCGTTCACGCAGCATGATGTCCTCCTGGTTCCTTTGTGTTGTAGCATGTCTCAGAACTTCCTTCCTTTTTAAGGCTGAGTAATATTCCATTTTGTGGAACATTCTGTGTCTCCATTCATCTGTGGATGGATGTTTGAGTGTCCCACCTCCTGCTCGTGTGAACTGCCTGTGGGATCACCATGCCATCTGAGGACTCACCGACCATTTCCTACAGCGACTGCACCATTCACATTCCCGTCAGCAGTGCACAAGGGCTCCGGCTTCTCCACTTCCTTGCAGACACTTGTAATTTTCTGTTGTGTTTTGATGGTAGCCATCCCAATGGGTGTGCGGTGGCATCTCACCGTGGTTTTGTGGACCTGGCATTTTAGAGGGGATGGAGACGAGGCAGTCATGGGGGTTCCCAGGGACAGGGTGGTGCCCCACTATCCGGTCTGGCTCACCTGTCCCTACTTCCCCGTCTGTTTGGTGGGCTTCTGACCCCCACCTCCCCAGCATGGGGAGAATGTGGCCAGAGGGGAAGAATCTCCTGCAATGCCCAGCCATCCTGCCCTGTCCCTGGCCCCTTCCGGGAGAGGGACTGACTCAGTGAAGGGTGGACGCTTTCACTGTTCCAGTGGCTCACCCTCCGTATGCACACCCAGGTAAACCGGTCAGTGAAGAAACACTCCGAACAAGTCAAGGAGGAGGCTCAGCCCTCTGGTTACTCCAGGAAGCTGCCGGTCTTCACCCACACAGAGCCCCGGCCCTTCAGGTAGGAGCGGCCAGAGGCTCTGAGGTTGTTGCCTTTGACCCACTTTCTCAGCCTTACCTAAGAAGAGGACTAGAGGAGCCAGTAGGACAGCTGGCCGGGGCTGGGGCAGGACAGAGCTCCACAGGGACCCTCAGACCTGCTGGCCTCGGCCTGGTATTGGGTGGGGAGTGGGGCACAGCCCATTCCCTCCACAGTGACCAGGTTGGGTCTGAATGACCCAGTTTGGCTGTCCACACTCCAAAAATGTGGGACAAGGGGCCTCTGGTGGCCTCCTTTTGGGAGGGCATGGCCCCTGGGTGAGGACAGCTGTGGCCCCCCCTGTGCAGCCTGCAGGAGGCCCACAGACCGAGGCCTCCAGGGGAGCTTCTGCTCCTGGGCCAGGGCATCTCCTGACCCTCTCTCTCCCCTTCTCTTACCTGGTTTTAGAGGCAGCGGGTGGATGAGCAGCCGGTCTAGAGAAGGGCTCAGACAAGTCCTGGGCATCCCAACAGTAGCCTTGAGGGACACGTGCTTGTCCTATTCCTAACTCCTCGGCATTCTTTATGAGTGGGGGAACCCATAGGGGGTCCCTGGAGGCAGTAGATGGGGAGCAGGCATCGTCAGGGTGAGTCTGGTCTGGGGCTCGAGGCGAAGGCAGGGCGAGGATCCTGGGCTGGCCGTGTTCTCTCCCTTGTCGTCCCCTGCCCTGCTCCCCCGCTGTGTGCTCTCCTGTGTCGTCCCCCGCCCAACTGCTTGTTATCCTGGAGCCCTCTCCCAGCCCCACTGCTTAGCTGGTGTCTCCCATTCTGGGAGTCTCCTCCCCACCCTCCCTCACCCCTCGGCCCCTCCGATCGAGATGTGCCCGTACCAACCTTGCCGTTATTTCAAGGGTGCCCATCAGTGTGTGCGCCCTGGACCTTAGCTTCATCTCTGTGCCCTGCCCTCTTCGATGCTGGTGTTGGTGGAATCGAGTCTCCCCAAAACTCGCATCCCCTGGATGCTCAGAATGTGACCTTATTTGGAAACAGGATCTTTAAAGATATCATCAGTTAAATGAAGACAAAGTCAGACTGGATTTTGGTGGGCCCCCATTCCAATGGCTGCCGTCGTTATAAGGAGGCGGCAGGAAGACGCGGAGATGGAGGCAGAGGCAGCACTTGGAGAGATGTGTCTACAAGCCACAGGACACCAAGGCTTACCAGCGGCCACCAGGAGCCAGGAGAGGCATGGGACAGGTCCTTCCCCACAGCCTGCAGAGGAGCTCAGCCCTGCCAACAGGCATTCGAGCTTCTACTTCCCAGAACTGTGGGGGAATACGTCTCCGTGGTTTTAAGCCCCCAGTTTGCATTTCAGCAGCTCTAGGAAGCCAGTACAGTACTGAATTCAATATTCATTTAATCCGAGTTTCATTTTTAACTGCATGGTATGCGGTGTCTCCTGTTTCTCCCTAAGCCAATCAAGCCTCATTTAAAAAGAAGAAAAAGGACTCCCAAAGAGTAGCATGGTGGCCTGCTCAGGAACGCAGGGGCAGAGGCAGCAGCAGGGGCAGGGGCAGCAGCAGGGGCAGGGGCAGAGGCAGCGGCAGGGGCAGGGGCAGGGGCAGGGGCAGCAGCAGGGGCAGGGGCAGCGGCACGGGCAGGGGCAGCAGCAGGGCCGTCTGCACTGGGGCCTGCCCCAAAGCCGTCCCACCTGCACCTCACACCAACTTCAGGATGCTGGGACCACACACTGTTCATAAAGAAATGGAGGGCAGGCGCAGTGGCTCACGCCTGTCATCCCAGCACTTTGGGAGGCCAAGGTGGGCGGATCACCTGAAGTTAGGAGTTCAAGACCAGCCTGGCCAACATGGTGAAACTCCGTCTCTACTAAAAATACAAAAATTAGCTGGGCGTGGTGGTGCATGCCTGTAGTCCCAGCTACTCGGGAAGCTGAGACAGGAGAATCACTTGAACCTGGGAGGTGGAGGTTGCAGCGAGCCAAGATTGTGCCACTGCACTCCAGCCTGGGAGACAGAGCAAGACTCCGTCTCAGGAAAAAGAAAAAAAAGAAAAAAGAAACGGAGGCCCAGGCTGATGATATCACCGCCAGGGGTGCCCAGCAGGGACAGTCGGAGCAGGGCTGTGAGCCGGGTTGAGGAACCCAGAGCCCACCTCCTCCCACTGTCCTGCAGCTGAGCAGCCCCAGGCCTGTGAGCCAGCTCCGGCCACCAGCAGGGATCAAAGAAGGAATCTTCCAGCCCTTGTGCCAGAATCACCCGGGCACCTCCATGGGATCTGCCAGGCATGGACTGAATGAGAACCTTCCCTGAGGACACCAACTGCTCCAGGTGAGGGAATGATGAAGGCTGGGACACCCAGGCCCTCCACTGCTTCCTGTCTTTTAAGTGCTGGAGCTTCTGCTGGATTCCATGTTACAGATCATATCACATCCTCCATTCTGTGACATCTCACCTCCACTGTTGGGACATCACCCTGGGAAACCCAGGGTGGCCCGTCCCACCTGAGAAAACTGAAGCAAACCCAGCTAGTTTGAGGATCTGAGACTCCCGTGGTTCCAATCCTGGGGGCCCAGGTCCTGAACCTTCTTGCTGATTTCAGATCTGCAGTTTATTTGTGCAAAAAAAGGTTCTGGAAACTTTCTTCCAGGCCTCGGAGTGACCGAGAGATTCCTGGCCCTGAGGAAGAGCTGATTGGACCTTCTTCCTGGTCCAGCTGGTCCCAAGGGGCTCTGCCCAATTTCAAACTGTCCCCTTGTTCTCAGTAGTTTTGAAATGAGCTGTGTTTTACAAGAAACACATACTTATTTTTCCCCATCACACTTTCGTTCTTTCTGGTTTAACAGGGACCACGGTGGAAATGCCAGCGAGACGGTGGTGTGCTGGTGCCACTGGGCCTGGTGCCACATCACCACGTCCCTGTAAGGTGTCACTTTAGAGTACTCTGTCATTTTCATTAGCCGATCCCAATGACGTCTGTACTTGCTCATGCCATACGCAGCCCATGTGTTTTCTTTTCAAACAAATAACAATACCACCCAAAACCACAACAGCCAGGTCAAAATGAATGACACCCATTGCAGGCCACACTGCAGGGGCTGGGGCTGTCCTTAGGGCCCTGTGTCCTGCTCGAAGTCAGGGGCTTCCACGGATTGACTTGGCAACCCAGGGACTTGGCTCCCTACTCTCTTGTTTTTACTTTTTTTCTTTCTTTTTTTTTTTTTTTGAGACGGAGTCTCGCTCTGTTGCCCAGGCTGGAGTGCAGTGGGCAATCTGGGTTCACTGCAACCTCTGCCTCCCGGGTTCACTCCATTCTCCTGCCTCAGCCTCCCGAGTAGCTAGGACCACAGGCGCCCGCCACCACGCCCGGCTAATTTTTTGTATTTTTAGTGGAGATGGGGTTTCACCGTATGAGCCAGGATGGTCTCGATCTCCTGACCTCGTGATCCTTGGCCTCCCAAAGTGCTGGGATTACAGGTGTGAGCCACCGCGCCCTTGGTTCCCGACTCTCTGTAGCTCCCAGACCCTGCATGGCAGCCACACCCGTGGGTCCCAGGAGGTGTGTGGGGCCCTCTGCTTAAAGATCCCTCTCAGTGGCTCTGCCTGTGGCCTCCAGAGACCCCTCCTCCTCAGGCGGTGCTGGCCCACGGGCACCAGGCCGGGCATCCAGTCTCGACTCCGGTGGCTCTCAGACAGCCAGGCTGTCTTAAAACAAGGCTCCTGAAATGTGGAGAAATGGCTCATCGAGTGCCAAATGTCGGCATAGGGCCGGGGACCACGAGAGGCTGGGGATGGATGAGCCAGGTCAGGTGGGGCCACAGTCTCATGCTGAGCTGTGGTGTCTGTTTCCACGGGGCCTTGAATGGCATGAAAAGGGCCCCCGATGCTGCCGCGCCCCCGATGCCGCCGCGCCCCCGATGCCGCCGCACGGAGCTGTCCAGTCGGGATGCTGAACATTGCCACAGTGGAATTCTAGGCAGACAACTTCAGCTTACGGTTCTGCTTGCCATTTGGTGACCTGGCAAGACACTTCCTAGATAAGGCTGGAAAAGGCAGGACGCCTCATCCTGTTTTAATAAAAAGTGAATAAGAAAACGTCAGCTATGAAGAGCATTTCCGGTGCTTTTTGTTTTCATCTTTACATACTTACTTTCTTGATTTTCTATGGAACCTTTTCTATTAATTTTTATACTTCGAAGAAACCTGCTTTATAAGAGAAGGCCCGGCAGTGGAGGGAGCATTTCATCGTTTTCCCATAGATGCAGCTGAGATGGAGGGAGACCCATCCGGAAGCCGTGGAGAGAGCGTCTCCTCAGCCCGCCCTGAGACGGGGGTCCTCCTCTCTCCCCCATGGTCCGGGCTTGGCTTCTCTGGGCTGTGAGATGCACAAGTGAAACGCTTCAATCTCCAAGGCCAGAGACCTTCCACCCACAGGCCTCACGCTCCTTCCTGCCACCCGCTTCCCATCGCAGCTCCTTGCTCCTCAGCTTGGCTCCAACAGCCCCAAGTCCCTGCCTCCCTTTCCCTGTCATCCTCGCCTGGCCGTGTCAGGCCGTGAAGCCGGGACAGACCACACTGCTCTGTGCACACCCCGGGCAGGCAGGCGCTGGGCAGCAGGTTGCAGATGGATGTGGACGGCGCCAAGGACCCCCACTGGGTCTGTCTTCCCAATCGTGGCCTCTGCTCTTCTTCCCCTCTGCTGAGAGCCTCTGCTCAGCATTCAGAGAGGGAAGGTGTGGGTGGCTGCCTCCTGCCCCATGCCCCCCGCCGGGGCTCCACCTCTTCTCTCTCCTGGAGCAGTTGGTGTTCTCAGGGAAGGTCCTCGCTCAGTCCACGCCTGGCAAATCCCACGGAGAGGCCCGGAAGCAGTTCCCTCCATGGCCACTTTCCTGCCAGCATTCTTTTCTTACTCATCATCTTATGCTGTTACTGTCTCCGCAACTGGAACCAACGGTCCTCGAGAGAAGGTGTCTTGTGTCCCTCCTACTGTGCCCACAACCTTCACGCAGTGCCTGACACACAGCAGGGCCTCTCGAGCCTTTGTGGACATCTGGAGGATGACTCCGAACTCACCCTCGCGTTGCACCGTCTCACCTCTCTCTGGGGACCTGTCCCTTCCCACAGTGAACTTCGAAGCATGTCTGTCTGTCACCATGTTCTGGCACAGTCTGGCCATGCTCACCTGTGTCCACCCGCTGACTCATTGCAGCTGGCACACTTGTTGCAAATGGCAGAAACTCACATTATTTTGCATAAGTAAATAGTAACCAAAAAAAAAAAAGATGGTTTACCATGCTCTACACTAGCAGCCAGCATGTCACCTGGAAACACCGAGACCTGAGCTGACACTCAGACGTCTCCATCTCCCGGGAGCCACGCTCCGTGTGGCCCTGGCAGAGTGCCCAGGATAAAGAGCACGGCCAGCACCTGCTCCAGTCCTGGTCCCCAGTGTCTGCACAAAGCTGCAGCATCCCAGAGGCTTCTGCTCTGCCTCTGGGGACCTTTGCTCCGTTTGCGGATGCGGTTTCCTTCTTCCTACAGAGAGGCAGGTGGTTTACTCCAGCGCTGCCTGCTCAGCACAGGGTGACCTCCTGCCAGGCTGTCCATGGTGCTCTTCCTAAGTGAGCACTCCCCCCCGGGGGAACCCCTGGCTCTGTTTGGGGCCTGGCTGACTCTCGCTGGGGCTGGCCCCTTCCTGCACCCCCCTCCCCCGCCGTCCGACCTCAGCATATGGCTCAGGGACACAGACACCCAAAGGCCTCTTGGGTCCTCAGCCTTGATATCGGCCACAGCCCTGCTTAAATGTCAAGAAAACGCATTGGCCACATGAATAATTCCTCACTAACGGCAGCGACAGAAACCGGAACCAGAAACCCTAGAGGGCTGGAGCGGGGAGGGCCGACTGGCCCGTGAACAGGCACGTTTCTGCTGCTTTGCCGGCCTTCGTGGTCCATTTAAGCAGCCCGTGGAAGGCCTAGCCTGAAAGTGGGTGCTGTCTGAGATGGGGAGGGGCCCTGGGCCCGGTAGGATCCACACAACTGTGGCAGCCACGGAACCACAGGGAGCCAAGTGTAGGAGGTGAAGGAAGCAATGCCCTGGGGGCGGACGCTGGGACTGGGCAGTCTCTGGTTTGACCTGTTCGCGGGGGATTCTTGACTTAACCTGTGGACAACTGGGCCATTCCCTGAGGGTGGAGGGGGCTGGGGGCTTTTCTCCTACCTGCCCTCTTCCCAGGCCAGGGCCGTGGCTTCCTGACCTAGTGCACACATGTCTGTCTGTCAAGCTCTCCAGATACAATGGGGCAAAATGACCAACGTGGCCCCCGGGTCCCTGAGAAGGATGCCGCTGCAGTGGTTAATCTGATTTTCTGGCACCTAAAGCCGCTAGGCTGAAGCCTAAACAAACCAAAACAAAATTTAAAAAGTACAAAACCACCTGAAGCAAAGCCAGGAAGACAGGGAAGGGCCTTAGGCGTCGAAGATGGGAGGGTAGGGTCGGGAAGAGGAACTCGTCTGACTCCTGGCTGCACTGGGAGATTCCTTCCTCACAGAGGGCGGCACTGGGGCCAGCTGGGCACCCATCCCTTTGCAAAAATGCTGCCCCACGCTCCATTCTCTGTGTTTATCAATTGATTTTGAGAGTTTTGTGACATGCCAGTGGCCAGCGTTACAACTATGAATAATAAATGGACCCATTTCCTGTTGGGGTTTCCAGTCTTAAGGCCTAAAAAACAAGATGAACTCCAGAAACACGGCAATCATAAGACAAGCTGAAGAAAGTCCATGTGGAAAGGAAAACTGACTTGCCGTTTTCCACAAATCTGTAATAATATGCAAACCATAATAATAAAGTACCGTTCCTGCAGACTTTGGGAGCATTCCTTCCATTATGTTCAGTGAGGAGCTTCTCCAATCATTTGCTTGTACCATCCTTACACTCACACCATGTGTTTTATTTTTCCTCGTGTTAAAGGCACGGAAGACCAGAAAACAGAAAAGAAATCAAAGCTTCTGAGAGGAAATACAGCCTCGGGGGGTCAAGGACACAAACAACAACAAAAGACATTGGGTAACAGAGACCAGGTTGAAGCACAGACTTAGTTATGAGGGTGCCAGGGGTTCCCCCAGTGGGGAGACGGGACAGCCGTTCCAAGCTTGGCCTTTTCCTCTGTGCTTCCTGCCTTTCTCTGCAGAGCGAGCTCCTTGCCCACGGGCCCAGGGAAGGGAAAACAGGATGGCCATGGTTGGCACAGGGCTGTTCTGGGTTTTGGAAGCTCAGGGCTGGGTCAGGGTGAAAGGTCAAGTGCACCTGAGTTTGGGGACCTGTTCTGCGGAGGCAGTTTTGGCTGCAGTTTTTATTTGGTGCTGATGCAATGTTTCCAAACAGCCAGCCAGGTGTTTGCAAATACCTAAGACCTTTTGGAAGACTCTGGCTAGGGTGGGAGGGGTGGGGAAGCCTGCTTCCTGGATGCGGGGGGCAGTATTTCAAGTCACAGGCTGAGGGACTGAATGGTGAGTGTGATCAGGGGCCTGGTTTCTCCCCCACCCCGCCTTTTATCTTTGTTCTTTTTTGAGACAGGGCCTTGTTCTCTTGCTCAGGCTGGAGTGCAGTGGTGCAATGACAGCTCACTGCAGCCTCAACCTCCCAGGCTCACGCCATCCTCCCACCTCAGGCTCCCAAGTAGCCGGCCCCACAGGCGTGTGCCACCACACCTGGCTATTTTAAAAGTATTTTATAGAGGTGAGGTCTTGCTATGTTAACCAAGCCGGTCTCAAACTCCTGAGCTCAACTGATCCTCCTGCCTCAGCCTCCCAAAGCACTGGGATTACAGGCGGGAGACACGACGTCCAGCCTTGTTTTTGTTTAGTTCTCCTAGGAGCGGATTAACAGGGTGTTGGGACCTCCAAAAGGAAAAAAGGCAGTTGTACACTGTTCAGCTGAAAGGAACTAAAAATATTCCCCCGTATTCTTGGTATATAAACCTGGGACAAAGAAAAACACTCTGAACGATTAAGGAAAACTTTGGGACTCTTCATTTCCTTGAAAGCCTTTGAAAACCAACTGACTCCCAAACAACCCGTGTGTGTGTGTGTGTGTGTGTGTGTGTGTGTGTGTGTGTGGCGATTGGGAAATCTGTGGTCAGACCCTCGGGCGAATGAGGAGAAGCTCATCCTCGTTTCTCCGGGCCCTCCTCCCAGGCGTCCGTCCAGGCAGGAAAGCCTCCCGAGAAGGGTTCCAAGTTTTGTGCCAACTCCCCTGAATTCTCGTTCCCCCTTCTGTGAAGTAGTGTTATTTAACACAAGGAAAACTGACCCTAGGCTCGATCCAGAATCTAACTCCCAAATGGGTCCTCAGGCTTAAAAAATACCTTCGCCCACAGCCTCTGTCTCCCCTGAAGAAAACGTTTTCCGTTCGGATGAGGCATCGGCCACGGGCAAGCAAGTGGTCCCGCGCCCCCGTCCCCTACCCAGGCGGCCGGCCTGGCTCCGTCACCGCCCGCAGCGTCCGCCCGGGGCCCGCGCGGGAAGAGGGTCCCAGCCCCACATGCTGCGGGGGCAGCCCCGGGACGCGCAGACGCCAGCGCCGCTGAGGGCCGGGGCCGGGACCGGCCGCGCGGCGGGGGCTTCCAGAGCGGCCGGTCACGCTTCCTTAGGTTTCAAGTTTCTAACTTGCTGAACATTTCAGATTTTAACAGCAAAAGCGGCTGACGTCCCCGCGGGCAAGCGGCCTCTCGGGGTCTGCAGCGCCCCAGGGCATCCGCGCCGCCAGCCCCACGCGCGAGCCCGCGAGGCCCCCGGGCCCCCGCACGTCCCGAGGCTCTGAGTCTGGACGAACGCAGGCCGCGTGGAGGGGCCGGCGACCCCTGCCCGAGAGCCGTCCCCTCCTGGAGGGAGCGAGCACAAGGCGCCCGCGGGACCCGGCCCGAGTGCCCGAGCGTGGAGGGGCGGGCGCGCCCTCGGCGGTGGGGCCGCCCGCAGTGCCCCCAGCGCCCGGGAGGGGGCGCCCGGCGGAGCGCAGGCGGGCGGGCCTCGGGCGGCGGGCGCCCCTGACGTCACCGGCCCGCGGTCGCCAGGGCAACGGCCTCATCCCGCGCGCGTCAGAGCCGCCAGTCTCTTGGCAACCGCCCGATCTCCCGCTCTCCCTCCGCCCGGCGCTCGGCCGCGCGTCGCTCTGGCGTCAAAGCGACGTCAATGGGCGGCCCCCGCCCGGGCGGCGGGGGCGGGGCAGGGGGCGGGGACTACGGGGGGCGGGCCGGGGCGGGCCGGGGCGGGGCCGGGCGCCGCGTGCGGCGGAGCGCGGCGGCTCCGGGCTGACATGCGGCGCGGCCCCGGAGGCAGCAGCAGCGGCGGCGGCAGCCGGAGCAGTAGGCACCCGAGCAGCGCCAGCGGCCGAGCGGGCGGCTTCCTGGCCTGGGCGCTCCGGTGGCGGCGGAGGTGAGGCGGCGGCAGCGGCGGCAGCGGCGGCAGCGGCGGGCTCCGGGCGGGCGGAGGTGGCCGCCGTGGGGGCTCCGCGCGGGCGCCGGGCCGGGGCTCGGGGTTGCAGCCACCGCGCAGGGTCCCTGGCCTTGCGCGCGCGGGGTTCGCGGGCGGGGTTGGCGGCCTGGCCGCCCTCGGGCTCCCCTTTGTTGGGGGGCCGGGGTAGGAGTGAGTCCGCGGGGCTCAGGGGCTGGGGAGCCGGGGGTCAGGTTGGAGCCGACCGCGGGCGGAGATACCGGGTGTGGGGGGCGGGTCCGCGATCCCCGAGGTGCCTGGGATGTCGGGGGTGGGGACCGGACGGATCGCGGGCGGCGGGGGCAGGGTGTGGGAGCGGGGCAGGGGACGGTCCTGGGATCCGGATCGAGCCGACCTCGGGTGGCAGGGCCAGGTGTGGGAGCGGGTCCGCGCCCAGAGGTGCTAAAGGGGTCGAGGGTGGGGACGGAACCGACAGCGGGCGGCGGGAGGCGAGTGTGGAATCCCGGCTCAGGGGGTCCCGGGATCGGGACGGAACCGGACTCGGGCGGCAGGGGCCTCTATGAGAGCGGGTCCGTGCGCCCCGCGGGGCTCAAGAGGGTCGGGGGTCCGGGTGGAGCGGGCGGCGGGGGCGGGTCCACACCTCCCACGGGGCTGGAGGGGCCCGTGGATAGAGTGGGGGCGACAGGCGTGGGAGCAGGTCCCTGCGTCCCGTGGGGACTGGGGGCTCCGCGGGCACGGATGGAGCCGACCGCGGGCGGCGGGGGCGCTGGTGGGCTCTGAGCTCTGTGCGGCCCCGCAGGTGCGCGCGGAGCCATGGTTATCATGTCGGAGTTCAGCGCGGACCCCGCGGGCCAGGGTCAGGGCCAGCAGAAGCCCCTCCGGGTGGGTTTTTACGACATCGAGCGGACCCTGGGCAAAGGCAACTTCGCGGTGGTGAAGCTGGCGCGGCATCGAGTCACCAAAACGCAGGTGCGTGGGGGCGGTGGGACCCAGCCGGCGGGGCCTCCCCACTGGACCCGGGGCGACCCGACCTTTGGCGGGTGGACCCCATGCAGATTCACTGCTCCAGGCTTGATTGTCGTGGTGGGTAAATAGTAACCGTTTTTAGTTCGGTAAAGAAAAATAATGCTTTATATTATGTTGCTGCATAATTTGGACATATATTGGGAGAAAGCAGAGAGGATAATAGCAAAAAAAAGGACCAACCTAAGATTGCAGTGGTTCATGGACTCAGAGCTAAACCCTGTAAAGTGAGCCTGCAAATACTTAAGTCACTTACTTAACTCTGATTATTTTAAATAACATTAGTGGTTACTTTGGTTATGTTTTCCCAACTTCTTGTGACCTTCTGGAGACAGAGTGTTGAGAAATTAACTTGCAAAAAATGAAATGTGTAAATTAGGTTGAGGGTTTCTTTTCTTTTTTTAAAAAAACCCACAGAATATCCTTTTTCTTTTTAAATTTGTAGGTTGCAATAAAAATAATTGATAAAACACGATTAGATTCAAGCAATTTGGAGAAAATCTATCGTGAGGTTCAGCTGATGAAGCTTCTGAACCATCCACACATCATAAAGCTTTACCAGGTAAGGGGTCAGCTTGCCTTTCTCTGCTAATCCTGGCAAATGTGTTATATTTTATTTCCAACAGCATAAGTCTGCAATTTCTGAAGGTGGCTTCCCTTTTGGGGAGTGTGTGGAAGTTGGGCATTTGGTTGTATAAGGTAAATAGATTGATTTTTATAGGCTGTGCAGATATATTTACAATTATTTTATTGCTTTTGGATCATAATTGAGATTTGCTTCATTAGAATTTTATTTAGTATCCTAACCTGATCCAGTTTTAAATGTGTAGAAGTCTGTTGTAAATTTGCTTTACTATGAAAACAGACAAACTTATCTGTAGGTATTGCCACAGGTCACGCATTTAGTATAAAAGGACAAATTTGAGTGAAACTGGAAACTTCTGCCTTTGCAGATAATTATTAAACTTTAAAGCCAGCTGCTCTTACTGGTTTTCATTAGTTTATTTTTGCAAGGACAGTAGTGAGCATTTGTTTTCCCTATTTAAACTCTTCCATGAAAAACGGAGAGATGAAAATACTTTTCCATAGTAAGAGCAAGGAGCTTGTCATTTAATCCATGCTAGGAACATGGCTTGCCCTGTCTCTCTGTTGGTTTATTTTGTGACTTAATTTTTGTTCTCATGTTGAAATTAATAAATTATATCATCAGGAAATAAGTACTAATTTAATTAGAACAGCAAAGCAATCATTTACACCTCCCTAATGACAAATGACCACTTTTGCAAGGTGAAATCAAGTCTTCTTGCAGAAGAAGTTCTTTGCAGGTGCTATTTCATCCATTTGTGTTGGGTTGAAGTTCCTCGTAATGATTCTTATGAAATGGAATGTGAGATGACTCTGGGATGTTGTTGTGTGTGTTTGTGCAATTAGGACAGCTCGGTGTACAGTGTGGTAGGAGAGAGAATTATGATTCGAAATTATCCCCCAAAAGCCTCTGCACTAGATTGAAAATAAAAGTAGCAGTATTGGTGGAGCTTACGACAGTTTGCTCAGTGTCTTTAAGCACAGAATTCATGCCGTGTGCGCCTGGTTTGTGTTTTGTTTCTGTTGTCATTTTTAAGTTGTGTGCTCCATGGCCACTGGTGTACTGCCTGTGCAGCGTGCCCAGCCCATTTCCTCAGGAGTGGGCTGAGCTGGTTTTGTTTTTGACTTTGCTCAAGGGCTGAACCCTAATGGTAGTACCTTCCTTTTCTTCCTGTTCTTCTCCTTTGCCCATTGTGTGGAATTAGCTCCGTTAAAGAAACAAATTGCCCATGTGTTTGCTGCTGAGGTCTTTTCTGGAGGTGCATTTTCTTACTGCTGCTGTATGTGATTCTTAACTGTTGGGAGATGATAGAATTCAGTGGTGTAGCAATGACTTTTACTCCTCTGGTTTTGATGCTAATGTCTAATTTTCTTTCTTTTCTTTCTTTCTTCCTGTCTTTTTTTTTTTTTTCTTTTTTGAGACGGAGTCTCTGTCCGTCACCCAGGCTGGAGTGCAGTGGCGCGATTTCGGCTCACTGCAACTGCCGCCTCCTGGGTTCAAGCAATTCTTCTGCCTCAGCCTCCCAAGTAGCTGGGACTACAGGCGCCCGCCACAACACCCAGCTAATTTTTTGTATTTTTAGTAGAGACAGGGTTTCACCGTGTTAGCCAGGATAGTCTGGATCTCCTGACCTTGTGATCCGCCCGCCTCGGCCTCCCAAAGTGCTGGGATTACAGGCATGAACCACCGCGCCCGGCCACTAGTGTCTAATTTTCATTCCGCTGGCCGGGGCCCCAGAACCCTGCTGAGACACTTCCCTCTTTTTTTCAAGTTTTCAAAAAGTTCAAACACTTTGACTTTTAATTCTTTTCCTCCTCCTCCCTTTCTTCAGTTGGGGACGGGTCAGCAGTGGTCTTAGAGTTATTGTACCACCCACAGGGGCGGGGCAGTTAAAATTCTTGCCAAACTGCTAGAATTTATAGAACACTTTTCTTTTTAGATTTATAACTCAAAGCAGCAATCTTTGAAGCATCTTTTTTTTTTTTTTTTTTTTTTGAGATGGAGTCTCACTGTCGCCCAGGCTGGAGTGCAGTGGCGCTATGGATCGTGACTCACTGCAACCTCCACCTCCTGGGTTCAAGCGATTCTCCTACCTCAGCCTCCCAAGTAGCTGGGACTACAGGCACGCGCCACCACACCTGGCTAATTTTTGTATTTTTAGTAGAGATGGGGTTTCACCATGTTGACCAGGCTGGTCTCGAACTCCTAACCTCAAGTGATCAGCCTGGGTGATCCCAAAGTACTGGGATTACAAGCATGAGCCACCACCTCCAGCACAAAGCATCTTTTTAAAGGAATAACTATATTTTGAACCCAAAAAAATCTTTTTTCATAAGAATATATTGCCTCATCCTCTCCAAAATTTTTCAATACTCACAGACATAAGTTATATTTTTAAATCTCTTTTTAAGTAAAATAAAGTTATTGATTAGTGAATGAACTTCAAAGGGCTATGTTGGCATGGCTGTTGTGTGGCTACATGCTGAGTGAATGGCTACATGCTGAGTGAATGAGGCTGGATTCTCACAGCCTCATTCATCCTGTCAATAAAGCTGGGTTCCCACAGCGTCATTCATCCTGTCAATCAAGCGAGTGGGAATGGGGTGTGCATTCTCTATTACCCAGGTGGCTCTGACCGTTGGCTGGAATCATCTGTTGCCTACTAGGCTTCTATAAAGCCCAGCAGACTTCCAGCAATCTCCTCCTCTGTAGCCTTCAGAATACTGTCTCTCCTTTTTTGAGATGGAGTCTCGCTCTGTCGCCCAAGTTGGAGTGCAGTGGTACGATCTCGGCTCACTGCAACCTCCGCCTTGCGGGTTCGAATGATCCTCTTGCCTCAGCCTCCTGAGTAGCTGGGATTACAGGTGCCCACCACCTCACCTAGCTAGTTTTTGTATTTTTTGTAGAGATGGGGTCTTGCCGTGTTGACCAGGCTGGTCTCGAACTCAAGCGATTCTCCTGCCTTGGCCTCCCGAAGTGCTGGGATTACAGGGCGTGAGCCACCATGCCCCGGCCTAAGCATTCTCAAATTGTATGTGAGGTGTCTTGAATTAAATATGACCACAGAGGGGAATTCTAATATATTTAGACCTTTTGTGAGAGCAAAGGTGTATCAGGATAGGCAAGTCAGTGAGGAATTCACCTCTGATTTTTCAAAGCTGTCTTTGTGAGTAGGAATCTCCTATTTTTTTTTTATTTGAGAAATTTTTCTTTTTCTTTGCATTTTTAAATGATGAATGCCTTTGTCCTAGAGAAGTTAGAAATTTCCTGGGGTTCTGGTGGATGGTTTGTAGCGCTGCCTTGTGCCTTTTTTGTGCGGTTAAATGTCAGGTCTTTCTTCTTTAGGTTATGGAAACAAAGGACATGCTTTACATCGTCACTGAATTTGCTAAAAATGGAGAAATGTTTGGTAAGCCACACTCGTTTTCAGTATCTGTTGAAAACCAATGGCACGAACGCGTCTGGATTTGCGCGGCCAGTGTCTGGGCCACACATCCCAGGACCCCGCGGTGTTCCCCAGGGCTCCATGGGTGGTGGGCAGGCTTTGCCCTGGGGGCTGTAGCTTTGTTTTGTGGCTCCTCAGATTATTTGACTTCCAACGGGCACCTGAGTGAGAACGAGGCGCGGAAGAAGTTCTGGCAAATCCTGTCGGCCGTGGAGTACTGTCACGACCATCACATCGTCCACCGGGACCTCAAGACCGAGAACCTCCTGCTGGATGGCAACATGGACATCAAGCTGGCAGGCACGGAGGGTCCGGGGTGGGAGCAGGGACATCAAGCTGGCAGGCACGGAGGGTCTGGGGTGGGAGCAGGGACATCAAGCTGGCAGGCACGGAGGGTCCGGGGTGGGAGCAGGGACATCAAGCTGGCAGGCACGGAGGCCCCGGGGTGGGAGTGTGCCCGCAAGCAGCCCCAGCTTCCCGGCATGTGCCGAAACCACAGCCCCTGTGCCGAAACCGCAGCCCCTTGCCATTTGCCGTTTAACCTCATCCATCTGTTTCTTTGCCGCTCAGATTTTGGATTTGGGAATTTCTACAAGTCAGGAGAGCCTCTGTCCACGTGGTGTGGGAGCCCCCCGTATGCCGCCCCGGAAGTCTTTGAGGGGAAGGAGTATGAAGGCCCCCAGCTGGACATCTGGGTAGGAGCCCTGTGCGCGCAGACCCCCTTCCCGAGGCCGCGTTCCCCGAGGGCGCCGTGTTCCCGGGGGCACCGCCCTGGCGCTGATGTGGCTCTGTGGTCCTCAACAGAGCCTGGGCGTGGTGCTGTACGTCCTGGTCTGCGGTTCTCTCCCCTTCGATGGGCCTAACCTGCCGACGCTGAGACAGCGGGTGCTGGAGGGCCGCTTCCGCATCCCCTTCTTCATGTCTCAAGGTGAGTCGTGTGGTCTCGCCTGGGCAGGGGCCTGTGTCTCCTGCAGCCCCTTCGTGGCTGGCTTCTGAGTCCTTGTTGAGTCTGGGAATCAGGCCCAGGTTACTGTGGGCTGCGGGAGAAACCCAGCCCATGGATGCCTTCTCAGTGCCCTATTTCGAGGGTGGACGGGTGCCCTTGCTGCACAGGCTTGTGCCTTGCGCCTGCCGTCCCCGCCCAGTACCCGCACCCAGGGTGCTGGCATCATCCCTGAGTCCAACCCACTGGCTGTGGCTCACCCGGCTTTTCTGTGTCATAAAGATGCCTGTCCACCTGGTGCTCAGGTGTGGGGCACGGCAGAAGGGTGAACCTAAGTGGTTCTCTGTGTGGTGGACACAAAGTGTGGCAGCCCCCAGGGTCTGGATCCCTGGCTGATGGCTCCCCTTGGGTGGCAGGACTGAGCCGATGGCCCGGCCCCTGCTCCTGGGCCCTGGCGTGTCAAACCACGTGGGGCGGTGGGTGGGAGCGCAGCCGAGGTCCCGGCCGCCCTGGCTCAGCCTCCTGGCCCCTCCACAGACTGTGAGAGCCTGATCCGCCGCATGCTGGTGGTGGACCCCGCCAGGCGCATCACCATCGCCCAGATCCGGCAGCACCGGTGGATGCGGGCTGAGCCCTGCTTGCCGGGACCCGCCTGCCCCGCCTTCTCCGCACACAGCTACACCTCCAACCTGGGCGACTACGATGAGCAGGCGCTGGGTATCATGCAGACCCTGGGCGTGGACCGGCAGAGGACGGTGGAGGTGAGCCTGGCCACACTTGCCCTGGCCTCACCCGCAGGGGCTAGGCAGCTGTCTCAGGGGAAGCAGGCACTCACCAGCTGAGTTAAAACGGGAGCACAGGCTAATTTAGGGGCCGGCTTGTCCACCCCACTAAAGGATATTCTCAGTCACCCAAGAATAACCTGGGATCGGGTGGGCCCTGGGGCTCCCCGCCATCCCCATGCTGATCTCTGCTCCTCTTGTTCCCAGTCACTGCAAAACAGCAGCTATAACCACTTTGCTGCCATTTATTACCTCCTCCTTGAGCGGCTCAAGGAGTATCGGAATGCCCAGTGCGCCCGCCCCGGGCCTGCCAGGCAGCCGCGGCCTCGGAGCTCGGACCTCAGTGGTTTGGAGGTGAGGGGGAGGAGTCTCCTCCCAGGCCCCAGGCTCCCTCCCCTGTCAGGCACCGGCTTGGAGGGCGGTTCCTTGCGTGGGCAGTGGGTCCCAGGCCTCGTGGGGAAGGGGGTGCCAGCTGCTGGGGGCTGGACTCTGCCCAGAGGCCACTTGTCCCTGACTCATCCCTGGGGCCGGCCTGTCACGCCACCTTCTGGCAGCGCAGCACCAGCACCTGGTCCTGAGCCCAGCCTGGCCAGCCAGTGTCCCTCCGTCAGCTGTCATGCCCACCAGCGAGGCAGCTTGCACTCCAGACAGAAGCCAGCTTGTTTCTTCTCTTGATGGCGCTGGTGGTCCGGAGTCGCTCCCCTGACAGCGTCTTTCCCGTCTGCCGGCCCCAGGTGCCTCAGGAAGGTCTTTCCACCGACCCTTTCCGACCTGCCTTGCTGTGCCCGCAGCCGCAGACCTTGGTGCAGTCCGTCCTCCAGGCCGAGATGGACTGTGAGCTCCAGAGCTCGCTGCAGTGGGTGAGTGCCCACAGCGGGTGTGCAGAGGGCTCGCCTCAGCCCAGCCCTGGTGCCCCCGGTGTGCCCGGGTCACCTGGAGTCCGAGAAGTCACTGGCTTGTGTCTCTCCAACGCAGCCCTTGTTCTTCCCGGTGGATGCCAGCTGCAGCGGAGTGTTCCGGCCCCGGCCCGTGTCCCCAAGCAGCCTGCTGGACACAGCCATCAGTGAGGAGGCCAGGCAGGGGCCGGGCCTAGAGGAGGAGCAGGACACGCAGGAGTCCCTGCCCAGCAGCACGGGCCGGAGGCACACCCTGGCCGAGGTCTCCACCCGCCTCTCCCCACTCACCGCGCCATGTAAGTGTCCCCGGGGGCCCAGGAGGACACCGGTGGATAGGCTTACGGTCGACGTGAGGGTGGGCTAATTTAGAATGGACGTTTTGCCCGGCAGCCTCTCAGGTTGGACTTCTCAGGATTTGCCATTTGTTTTAATCCCTGAGACCACACAGTTGATGTTTAGAGCCTGCCCTGCATGTGGTCGTTCCAGTGGAGGATACAGCATGGGGTCTGGCCTCCAGCAGGGTCCTCCCCAGGCCGCCCCTGGGTGCCGGGAGGGCAGCCCCTTGGCCTGAGGCCCACTATGACCTGCCCCCTGCAGCTGCACCGTGATGGTGGCTTGCCTTTGTGGCTCCCTGGGCTCTGGTGGCCTCGAGCCCTCTTCCCACCAGGTTGATGGTGGGGATGGGGAGGCCAGCGCAGCCATGTGTGCCCAGCAGTGGCCGGGGGAGCCTATTCCTTTGCACTGCAGCATCAAAAGCGCTGTCCTCCCCCCACAGGTATAGTCGTCTCCCCCTCCACCACGGCAAGTCCTGCAGAGGGAACCAGCTCTGACAGTTGTCTGACCTTCTCTGCGAGCAAAAGCCCCGCGGGGCTCAGTGGCACCCCGGCCACTCAGGGGCTGCTGGGCGCCTGCTCCCCGGTCAGGCTGGCCTCGCCCTTCCTGGGGTCGCAGTCCGCCACCCCAGTGCTGCAGGCTCAGGGGGGCTTGGGAGGAGCTGTTCTGCTCCCTGTCAGCTTCCAGGAGGGACGGCGGGCGTCGGACACCTCACTGACTCAAGGTGAGCCACGCTCCTCCCACACTTACCTCCACCTTCCCCAGGGGACCATGTGTGTCTCTGGCAGTACGTGACTTTGTCCGTGATGGCAGATGGCACCCCCTGTTCTCCACCGGGCCTGGGTGGGACCCTCAGTGCTCTGGGCAGGCTGGGGTGCTCAGTGCTCTGGTGGCTCGGGGCGTCACGGCCTGCTGGGATAGACACACATGGGTCCCTGAGCACGCGGCCTCCATGGCTGGTTCTGAAAGCACAGGAGACGACTCTGTGCTGGGCAGCACCTCCCGACTTGGAGGAGGGAGGGCCCCTGGCTGCCGGCTGCCTCCACGCCATCCTGGGGCTTAGGTGCCAGACTCCTGTCCAGACGTGCTTGTGTCACCCGTCCTTTCCTTACCCCCAACCTGAGGCTTGGAAACCCCTTAAGCCAAGGGCCGTGGATGCTGGGCTGAGAGCCGGGTGGCCGTTGACCTCCTGATTCATTCTCCCTGCAGGGCTGAAGGCCTTTCGGCAGCAGCTGAGGAAGACCACGCGGACCAAAGGGTTTCTGGGACTGAACAAAATCAAGGGGCTGGCTCGCCAGGTGTGCCAGGCCCCCGCCAGCCGGGCCAGCAGGGGCGGCCTGAGCCCCTTCCACGCCCCTGCACAGAGCCCAGGCCTGCACGGCGGCGCAGCCGGCAGCCGGGAGGGCTGGAGCCTGCTGGAGGAGGTGCTAGAGCAGCAGAGGTAGGGCCTGCCCCCGCCCTGGGACCCCGGGTGGGCACACGGCAGGTTATCTCCTCGAGGAACCTCATCTGCTAAGTGGTTCCCTCCTCTCTGTAGCCCAGTGCACACCCCCGCTCCCAGCCAGGGAGATGTGTGGGGCGTAGGTCCTAGGTGCTGAGCCATGGGGGTGCAGCAGGCGGGCGTGTCCTTTAAAGTCCCTGGGTGGGTGAGGGTGGCGGGGAGCGAGGGCGCCTTGTGGCCGCATCTCTGAGCTGCTGAGAAACCGGGTGGAGAATGAAAGGTGGGGCGCGGTCAGGGATCAGCCACGCACCTGCCCTCGGCAGCCGCGGCTGGCAGCTCCTCGGGCGGGCCCTGCCACACGGGCACTCGGAAACCCGAGAACCCTGCGAGCCGGCGCAGTGACCACCTGTCCTCTGTTCCCACAGGCTGCTCCAGTTACAGCACCACCCGGCCGCTGCACCCGGCTGCTCCCAGGCCCCCCAGCCGGCCCCTGCCCCGTTTGTGATCGCCCCCTGTGATGGCCCTGGGGCTGCCCCGCTCCCCAGCACCCTCCTCACGTCGGGGCTCCCGCTGCTGCCGCCCCCACTCCTGCAGACCGGCGCGTCCCCGGTGGCCTCAGCGGCGCAGCTCCTGGACACACACCTGCACATTGGCACCGGCCCCACCGCCCTCCCCGCTGTGCCCCCACCACGCCTGGCCAGGCTGGCCCCAGGTTGTGAGCCCCTGGGGCTGCTGCAGGGGGACTGTGAGATGGAGGACCTGATGCCCTGCTCCCTAGGCACGTTTGTCCTGGTGCAGTGAGGGCAGCCCTGCATCCTGGCACGGACACTGACTCTTACAGCAATAACTTCAGAGGAGGTGAAGACATCTGGCCTCAAAGCCAAGAACTTTCTAGAAGCGAAATAAGCAATACGTTAGGTGTTTTGGCTTTTTAGTTTATTTTTGTTTTATTTTTTTCTTGCACTGAGTGACCTCAACTTTGAGTAGGGACTGGAAACTTTAGGAAGAAAGATAATTGAGGGGCGTGTCTGGGGGCGGGGGCAGGAGGGGAGCGGGGTGGAGGGAACACGTGCAGTGCCGTGGTGTGGGGATCTCGGCCCCTCTCTCTGGGTTCGTCGTGGTTGAGATGATTACCTCGGACGTCTACGGAAACGAGCGGGCGCATTGTTGTCCGCTTGTGTGTGTGTGTGTGTGTGTGTGTGTGCGCGTGCATTGATTACTATCCATTTCTTTAGTCAACGCTCTCCACTTCCTGATTTCTGCTTTAAGGAAAACTGTGAACTTTCTGCTTCATGTATCAGTTTTAAAGCAGCCCAGGCAAAGATCATCTACAGATTCTAGGAATTCTCTCCCCTGAAATCAAAACCTGGAAGACTTTTTTTTCTTATTTTAGTTGAGAAGTTTCATAAACTGCTCAAGGATTAGTTTTCCAGGACTCTGCGGAGGAACGGCAGGAAGAACCTCAGAGAGGGCAGAGGTGACTTCAAAGTGCTGGGGACTCCGTCCTGAGGGTCACTTGGCCCTGAGCCCCTGCGTGCCCTTGCGGAAGCCCAGAAGCTTCTTCCTGCTGCACCTCCCGTTTCCGCTGCTGCTGACGTTTATGCATTTCATGATGGGGTCCAACAAGAACACCTGACTTGGGTGAAGTTGTGCAATATTGGAGGCTGACTGTAGGGCTGGGCAGCTGGGAGACAGGCTCATGGCTCATGGCTCATGGCTCAGGGCGGTGCCTGCCCTGGGCCGGGACCCCCCTCCCCACCCCCCACCTAGGCTTTTTGGGTTTTGTTCAAGGAAGGTAAAGTGAGAGGTTTAGGTCAGTGTTTTTAAGTTTTTGTTTTTTTTTTAAAGCAAATCCTGTATATGTATCTACATGGGAGACAGGTAGACACTACTTATTTGTTACATTTTGTACTATACGTTTGTGTTCCAGGTTTCAGCTTCCCTCGCTCCTGTTGTTAAGAAGCGTCCCTGTCAGCACAGGTGTGCATTGAGGAAGGGGCCCCAGGGCCTTCGCTCCCTCAGCACTGGGGTGGAGGCGGCAGGAAGGGGCGGCCCTTACCTGGCAGGTCTGGGCGCACCTTTAGCAGGTGGACTCCGTGGGGCTCCACCAGCCAGAAGCCTCTGGAAGGCAACGAAGGCAATGCTGCTCCCTGAGTCCAGTCCCCGCCCCCAAACCCAGCCCAGGTGCCTTCAGCTACTTCGGCTTCTTAAACCCTGCAGTGTTAAACAGAGGCATTGAGAAAGGGGAAAGGCGGGTATTTTTAAAAGCCAAAGATTGACCCAGTTACTTGAGGGTAGGGAGGCGGGCCCAGTGCAGGAGGCTGCATCCCTGGCCTGCTGGTGCCCACCGGGGGCTGTGCCTGTGCCGGGCCGCAGGGAAGCTGGCTGCCCCCATTCCTGCTGCTGCTGCTGCTGCTGCTCTGTGGCTGTTTCAAAGACTGGGCGAAAGGCTGTCCGGAGGGCAGACCAGGTGCCTTGCCGCAGAGAAAACACCAAAGTCTCCTGTTCGCTCATAAAGAAGTTTTTGGGATGGGAGAGAATCCAGACCATCTTGGGGCAGCCAGGCCCTTGCCTTCATTTTTACAGAGGTAGCACAACTGATTCCAACACAAAACCCCTTCCCCTTTTTAAAATGATTTCTGTTCTAATGCCATAGATCAAAGGCCTCAGAAACCATTGTGTGTTTCCTCTTTGAAGCAATGACAAGCACTTTACTTTCACGGTGGTTTTTGTTTTTTCTTATTGCTGTGGAACCTCTTTTGGAGGACGTTAAAGGCGTGTTTTACTTGTTTTTTTAAGAGTGTGTGATGTGTGTTTTGTAGATTTCTTGACAGTGCTGTAATACAGACGGCAATGCAATAGCCTATTTAAAGACACTACGTGATCTGATTGAGATGTACATAGTTTTTTTTTTTACCATAACTGAATTATTTTATCTCTTATGTTAACATGAGAAATGTATGCCAAATGATTAGTTGATGTATGTTTTTTAATTTAATATTTAAATAAAATATTTGGAAGGAAAAAACCTTGACTTTTTCCCTTCCTCTCTCTCTCATCTCTCTGGGAGCTCTTTCCTTCCAAGCGGCTTCCCTGAGAGGCCACATCCTCCAGGCTTGTAGAAGTTTCAAATCTTAAAGAGGAGGGCAGGGAGCCAACTCCTGCATTCCACCTCACTGCAGGGAACTAATGGCCTTCCGTCTGCAGAGGACCCCTCCCCCTGCGGCAGCCACAGGTGGCCCCGTGGTCTGCCCCCTCCTCAGGACCCTTCCCCAGTGGCCGGGCTCAGTCACTGAAAGTCTCAGCACCGCCCGGGGCTGCCGGCACCATCCATCCTTACCCCATCCTCCGCCAGGTTCTCTGAGTCTGGTTATAAATTAAGCAGTTGGAAGAATCTCACAGCCAAACCATTTCCTGGTCTCTGAAAGACTTCACCACCTTCTAGCAAGAGGGCACACACTGCTGCTTTATGAGAACAAAGGACTTGTTCATGTTGTCACCTGGTGGATATTTTGGTTAAAAAAAGCTCTTCAACCTCTTCGCTCCCATTAAGGTGGTCCTTACCAAAATGGACCCCTTGTGCGCTGTTGGTGGGAGGGTCAAATGGCGCAGCCTTTATGGGAGAGCAGTGTACCAGCTCCTCAAAGATTAGAACCACCACCTGATCCGGCCGCTCCTCCTAATGGTATGGACCCTGAAGAACTGAAGGCAGGGCCCAGAGAGGTTTGTACACCCATGTTCACAGCAGCATGACGACAGCCATACTAGGAAGCAGCCCGAGGGGCCGTCAGCCGATGAAGGGATCAAGAAGATGTGGTCCCGCCTATAATCCCAGCACTTTGGGAGGCTGAGGTGGGCGGATCACCTGAGGTTGGGAGTTCGAGACCAGCCTGACTAACATGGAGAAACCTCATCTCTACTAAAAATACAAAATTAGCGGGGCATGGTGGTGCATGCTTGTAATCCCAGCTACTCGGGGGGGCTGAGGCAGGAGAATCGTTTGAACCCAGGAGGCGGAGTTTGTGGTGAGCCGAGATTGTGCCATTGCACTCCAGCCTGGGCAACAAGAGCGAAACTCTGTCTCAAAAAAACAAACAAAGAAGATGTAGTCCATGCCGACAGTGGAATAGGCCTCAGCCGTACAAAAGGAAAGCCCAGCATGGCTGCCAGCGAGGATGGACCCTGAGGATGCCGTGCTCAGTGGAACAAGCCCGTCATAAAAGAACACACACTCGAGGGCCCTAGAGGGGACAGATTCACAGAGACAGAAGGGGGAGTGGGGGGTGCCGGGGGCTGGGGAGGGGCTGCTGAGCCAGAGATGAATGGGTGGGAATTGCAGTTTAAGAGGATGAAAAGTGCTGGAGTTGGGCGGTGGCGATGGCTGCAAAACAGTATGAACGTTCTTAACGCACTCAACTGTGTACCGAAAAATGGTTAAAACGATACATTGTATGTTACGTTTATTTTACTACTTTTTTTTTTTTTTTCGAGCCTTGCTTTGTCACCCAGGCTGGAGTGCAGTGGCGTGATCTTGGCTCACGGCAACCTCCTTCTCCTGGGTTCAAGCGATTCTCCTGCCTCAGCCTCCTGAGTAGCTGGGATTAGAGGCCCCCACCACCATGCCGGGCTAATTTCTGTATTTTTAGTAGAGATGGGGTTTCACCATGTTGGCCAAACTGGTCTCGAACTTCTGACCTCACACTTGAGGTCCGCCCACCTCAGCCCCCCAAAGTGTGGAGATTACAAGCGTGAGCCACTGCGCCGGGACCACAATGTTTTTAAGAAGAAAACAAAGTTTTTTCTCAAGGAGGCAGATGCTCAGTGAGTGCGCAGCAGTTCCCATGAGGAGAGCAGGCAGGAGCCATGGGCAGGGGCAGGCACAGGGCAGGCCACTGTCGGTGCTGAGGTTGGCTGGGCATAAGTGTGGCCGGGGCCAGCCTCATTGTTCCTGGAGCCCTGCTCAGACAGGGCGTCCTGGCCCTCGGGAGAGCCTGCACTGCGACGGCCCCTCAGGCAGCTGGATGGTGGGAGAGGCCGGGGAGGGGGCTCTTTGTCTTCTGAGTCATCTCTGCGGTTTTGCTGTCTCTAAGAACAAAGCAGTAGCCTCCGAGGTCCTGGCTGTGGCTGCCGCTGGCTTAGTGGCTTGAGGCTGTCTGACAGGGAGGCCAAACCAGGGCTGAGCACTCCTGAGTGAGCGGAGGTGCCTGCTTGGGCCATGCCTGTGTGGGGGAATCTGGCAGGGGAGCTGGGGGCCCACGGAGCTGCTCTGTCTCCAGGCAGCCTCGTCGCTCCACCCCGCTTAGAGTGGGGCCGCCTCAGGACACCAAGGTTGGGCTGTGTGGCATCTGCTGAACAAGGAGCCGGGCGGCTGTGCTGAGGGCACCTGTGTTTATTGTTTGGGAGCCTTAGAAACCAGGAACCTCGAGTCGGAACCTCTTGTCGTGTCGTGCATGCGAATTCAGGGTGTGACCTGCCCATGTCTCAGCTCCCCGACCTAGTGGTCAGCTCCTCGTGGGGACAGATGTGTCTCATGGTGCTCCAGGGTACTGAAGCAGCCCCAGCAGGTAGCAGCTCCTTAACACACAGCACTGGCAAAACCATCCCTGTGTCTCCCATGCTTGGGCGCTTCTTCCAGAACTCCTGATGGTGGCGAAGACGATGGCGATGATGATGGTGATAGAGGCTTAGACTTCTCAGGTTGAAAGTTGGAGCCCCCCTTGGGGAGCCTCCCACAGGCCTTGTAGGACTCCAGAATTCTGCCCTGGGCCCCTTGATCTGCTCCTGAGTCATTTCAGTCCCTCCACTGGGGAGGTCCTGATGGGTAGAGGGAGCTGGCCACACCCATGGGTGTGTTTGCCCCTTGCCTGAGGGTCCTTTATGGCCCCTAGCCCACGTCTGGCACCGTGAGCATCCCCCACCCACCCCGGGCATTTTGCAGGATGTTCTCGTTGAGGACATGTTCCTTCCTGCTGGGGCTTGGCCGGGCTGAGCCGGGCCCTGGCGCACCCCTAGTACTCGATGGCACTTCTGAGCCATACGGGGTTCTGGGGTTCTGGGACTTTCTTTTTCAGTCTGGTGAGGGGCCAGGTACTGCCTGGAGCTTCAACCAAAGCAAATCAGGTGATTGCCATGTCCTTGCTAACACAAGACGGAGGCACGCCCAGCCAGCTGACATGCAGAGTGGCACGGTGGCTGAGAACGTGGCCTCCGTTGCCGCACGCCTGAGTTTGCGTTCTGGTGCTGCAGCTTTGCAGCCCTTTGTGACGGCCACGCGTGCTCCGGGTCAGCAGGCCGCTCCCGTGACAAGGGCGCGACATGCAGGGTGCACAGTGGGCCCTGGGGAAACACGGTGGCATCCCCGAGCGCCATCCCCAGCAAGAACGGGGCCAGACACCCACCAGGGAAGAAGCACCGTGGTTGACCGGATTGTTGGCGACCTGACCGCCTGCTTATTCCGTCGTGGACGCGCCTCCTCTCGCAGCGGTGGGAGCGGAGGCCTTCGCCTGGAGGCGCCTGGGCCCTGCCTCTGTGCTTTTCTGTCACCCTGAACGGCTGGCGCTCTCCTCGCTGGGCCGCGGGATAAGAAGAAGGCTTTCCGGCAGTCCAGAAATACTGGCTCCCAGGAGCAGGACTGGCCTCTCGGGGTGGGGGTGGGGAGAGAGGGGATGCCCCAGCCAGAGGGAGGTCCCTGGGCCCAGCCTGGAGGGAGCCGAGGCAAGATCCACCTGTTTCTGCACGTGCTCGCCTCCCTCGGAGGCAGGAACTGAATCTGACCTAAGAGGAACCGACTCTCTTGGGGTGGAAGAAACAGAGTTGGCCTCTTCGTGTTTCTTCCGGAATAACACCGGGGTGTTGAGGCGGCATGCTGGTGAGGGCTTGGGTGAGCACAGCCGCCCTGCCTGTGGCCCCACCTCTGATCTTGGGAGGAGTCTGCTGTTCGGAGGCGGGCGGGTCCTGAGGAAGGTGTCCAGGTCTGGCTCTTCAGAGACCAGGAGGGCTGGGCTCCGGGTCCTGCCTGTGCAGCTGGTGTGGCGCCTGGCAGAGAAGAGAGAGGGGGAGAGGGAGGGGAGAGGGGAGGACAGAAGAGGAAAGGAGAGAGAGAGGAGGGAGGCAGAGAGGGAGAAGAGAGGGAGGCAGAGAGGGAGGGAGGGAGAGAAGAGAGGAGAAAGAGGAGGGAGGGAGGAGAGAGGAGGGAGAGAAGAGAGGAGAGAGAGGAGGGAGGAGAGAGGAGGGAGGGAAGGAGAGAGAGGAGGGAGAGAGGGAGAGAAGAGGGAGGGAAGGAGAGAGGAGGGAAGGAGGAGGGAGACGAGGGAGGGAGGAGGGAGATAGGAGGGAGGGAGGGAGGAGGTAGGGAATGTTCAGTTTCTTTCCTCAGGGGAACTGCTGGGGTCTCAGTCTGACTCACTTTTTTCTAATTATTATTATTTCACTTATTTGAATGTGATTTCTGTTAAAAAAAAAAAAGAAAGAAAGAAAGAAACAAGAAACAAGAAAGGACTTAGAAAAAGTACTCAGGGAACCCAGGTGGCCAGAAATGCTCCATTCCCCTTTTGTCCTTTGCAGTGTTCTGGTCTGGAATGAATGGGCTTCCCCAGCAGATTTTAGGGGCTTTTCTTTGAAATTTGAAGGGGAAGGTACCTTCCTATGATCACAGAGCATGTTCCCTTCCAGCCAAGAGGTTAAGTGGAAAGCCCGGGGCCCTGGGTTCCAGAGCGGGGGGCCGGAAGACTGTGAGGCTCAGGGGAGAACGCAAATCCGTCTCAGCAGAAATGTGCCCCAGAACAAATCAGCTCCACCGAGCTCCCAGTGACCTGAACCAAATGCGTCGTCTTTGGTGCGAACTTCAAGGAGTTCTGCCGGGCACCGACCTGGGTCACCACCATCAGAATTGACGCACAGAACACGCCTGTCACCCAGAAAGCTCCCCTGGGCTCTCCGCTCCGTGCCCTTGCCGTGTTCCCGGCCCCAGGCAACGGATGACCTGCTTCCTGTCACTGGGCATGCGTTTGCATTTTCCAGAATTCCTAGGAATGGAATCAGACAGCGTGTGCTCCTGATGGGCTGGCTTCTCTCACTCAGCATAATTAAACGTGGCTTCCTCCACGTGCCGCGCATCAGGAGCTCATTCCTGTTTCCTGCTGAGTCGTGTTCCGTGGTGGGGAAGGCCACCGTTTGTTTACCCACTCACCTGGTGATGAACGTTTGGGTGGTTCCCGGCATGGGGCGATTATAAATGATGCTGCTGTGAATCCTGGTGTGGACGTGTCTCATTTCTATTGGGTAATGTAGGCCAAGGTGCAGAGGCTGGCTCGTGTGGCATGAGAGCGATTCACTCGACAGAAGCCGCCCAGCTGCTCTCCAACGGGGCTGCTCCTATTTGCGTTCCTGCCCACCACGTACGAGAGCTCCGGTTGCTCCAACCCTCACCAACACTTAGCGTTGTTAGTGTTTTAAATTTTAGCCACTTGGATAGTCTGTCGTGGTGTCTTATCATGATTTTATCTTGCATTTTCCTGATGACTGGTGATGTTGACTGTCTTGTAATTAGCCATTCTATTTTTCATATTTATTTGCATCTTTGCTGGTTTTTGTTTTTGTTTTTTGAGACAGGGTCTCGCTCCGTCACCCAGGCTGGAATGCAGTGGTGCCATCTTGGTTCACTGCAGCCTCTGTCTCTTGGGCTCAATCAATCCTCCCATTTCAGCCTCCTGAGTAGCTGGAAGTACAGACATGCGCCACCGCGCCTGGCTAATTTTTGTATATTATTTTTGGTAGAGAAGGGGTTTCACGATGTTGCCCAGGCTGGTCTTGAACTCCTGGGCTAAAGTGATCCTCCAGCCTCCCAAAGTGCTAGGATTATAGGCATGAGCCCCCGTGCCCCACCTTTGCTAATTTTTATTGGGTTGTTTGAATTCTTATTATTGAGTTGTTGGAGTTCCTTATATTCTGACCTTATATTCTGAACCCAAGTCCCTTTGTCACATGAGTGTATGTGTCTGTACCCTCTCCTCCTGCCACACACAGAATATTTCTCTCCCTTGTGGCTTGCCTTTCATTTGAAGAGTGAAGAGTTGAAGGTTTTTATTGTTATGAAGTCCAGCTGATCATTTAATCTTCTGCAGCTGGTGCTTTTTGTGTCTTATCCAAGAAAGCTCTGTCTACCCCAGTGTTGGGGGCTCTCCTGTGTGCCCTTCCAGTGGGTTTATGCTTTCAGCCTTCGTGTCTACAGCTCTGTCCACTTTGAGTTGATTTTTGCCTCTGGTTCGGGATAGCAGTTGAGGTTTATTTTTATTTTTTTCTGTGGATAACCAGTTGTTCCAGCGCCGTTTACTGAAAGACTCCGCTTTGCCCATTGAATTAATATGACACATTTGTGAGAAATCAAGTAACCATCAACTCGAGAGTCTGCTTCTGGGCTCTGCTGTGTTCCGCGGATCTATCTGTTCTGTGGCACAGCACATGTCTTTTTTTTTTTTTTTTTTTTTTTTTGAGATGGAGTCTTGCTCTGTTCCCCAGGCTAGAATGCAGTGGCACGATCTTGGCTCACTGCAAGCTCCGCCTGCCGGGTTCATGACATTCTTCTGCCTCAGCCGCCCGAGTAGCTGGGACTACAGGCGCCCGCCACCACGCCCGGCTAATTTTTTGTATTTTTAGTAGAGACGGGGTTTCACCGTGTTAGCCAGGATGGTCTCCATCTCCTGACCTTGTGATCCGCCCACCTCGGCCTCCCAAAGTGCTGGGATTACAGGCGTGAGCCACCGCACCTGGCCAGCACAGCACGTGTCTTGATTATTATTATCCTCATAGCTTAAATCTTAATGAAACCAGGTAGTGGAAATCATCTAATTTTGTTCTTTCTCTAAATTATTTTTGCTTTTTTAGGTCTTTTACATTTCTGTATACATTTTAGAATCAGCTTGTCAATTTCTGCACCTTGTATTGACTGTCTACTTGTGTAGAATTGTTATTATTTGTTCCTTGAATGTTTGAGTCCCTAAATGCTTCTTTAAATCACGGAAGGCATGTGGGCCTAGTTTCTTAATCAGAAGGTTTTGAATCCCAAATTCAGTTTCTTTAGTAGGTTGAGAACCATTCAGATCTGGGATTTCGTTTTCGAGTGAGTTTGAAAGTTCGCGTCTGTCACGGCACATGCTCCTGTCCTCCGGGTTGTCAGGTCTGTTGGTGTAAAGTCCACAATATTCTCTCTCTCTCTCTCTTTTTTTTTTGAGATGGAGTCTTGCTTGCTCTGTCGCACGAGCTAGAGTGCAGTGGGGCGCTCTCGGCTCACTGCAAACTCCACCTCCCAGGTTCAAGCGGTTTTCCTGCCTCAGCCTCCAGAGTAGCTGGGATTACAGGTGGCTGCCAACACACCCAGCTAATTTTTGTATTCTTAGAGACGGGGTTTCACCATATTGTCCAGGCTGTTCACGATCCCCTGACCTCAGGTGATCTGCCCACCTCAGCCTCCCAAAGTGTTAGGATTACAGGCATGAGCCACCACACCTGGTCCACAATATTCCTTTATTACCTTTCTGTTGTGTCGAATCTGTGCTAATGTCTTCCATTTCATTTCTGATATTAAAGGTTTGTATTTACTCTCTTTTATCTTTTTGATTGGAAGTTTATCAATTTGTTTTAATTTTCCAAGATCCACCCTTGGGTTCCATGGATTCGCTTTATTGCTTATTCATTTTCTATGTAGTTGATTTCCTCTCTGTATTATCACCCTTTTCTACTTAATTTGATTTGAATTTTCTCTTCTTTAGCTTTTTAAAAGATCAAATCATTGATTTTATATCTTGTTTCTGATATAAACATTTAAAGCTCTGATTTCTCAATAAGCACGCCTTTAGTTACATCCTGTATGTTTTGGTGTGTTGTGTTTTTATTTTCATTTAGTTCAAAATGTTTTCTGTTTTTAGGCTGGGCACGGTGGCTCATGCCTTTAATCCCAGCACTTTGGGAGGCTGAGGCAGGTGGATCACCTGAGGTCAGGAGTTCGAGACCAGCCTGGCCAACATGGTGAAACCCCGTCTCTACTAAAAATACAGAAGTTAGCCGGCTGTGGTGGTGGACGCCTGTAATCCCAGCTACTTGGGAGGCTGAGGCAGGAGAATCGCTTGAACCCGGGAAGCGGAGGTTGCAGTGAGCCGAGATTGCACCACTGCACTCCAGCTTGGGCGACAGACCAAGGCTCCGTCTCAAAAAAAAAAAGCAAAATGTTTTCTGTTTTTCTTGTAATTTCCTTCTTTACCTGTGGGTCACTTAGAAATGTGTTCCATTTCTAATTATTTAATACTTAGCCATTTTTAGGTAACTTTTAGTTGTTAATTTTTAATTTACAGCTGACTGCTTGGGTCTACACCATGTGCCCTGAGAAAAGCGCGTATTCTGCTGCGGTCGGGAAGCCTCCAGACATCCGAGCGAGCTGGAGATGCTGTTTTTGGAGCTGTCTACATTCCACTGACCTGTCTTCTTTCTCTGTTCATTGCTGGGGGAAGAGCGTGAGGTGGCGGACGAAGCTCGTGCCTTCATCTGTGTCTTCACTGCTCTCATTTCCAGCTGCATATTTTGAAGCTTTCCATCACGTGCGTGCATATTTAGGACTGTGGGTCTCCTTAACAGGCTGACCCTTTCTTCACTGATGAACTGTCTCCACGTGTCTTCGTCCATCTTCCTTGCCCTGGAGTCTATGTTGCCTGCGATGTTCGTGGCCGTGCCAGCCGCCCCGGGGTCAGGGTTTGAATGCTGTATCTTTGACCATTTCTATATTTGCAGTCTGTCTTTGTCTTTCAGGTGTGATTCTTGCAGACAGCATACTTTAAGTCTTTGATTTTTAGCCAGTCCAACCATCTCTGCTTTTCATTGGTGAGTTTAGCCCATTTAACAGCCTTTTTTTAAACGTTTTTATTTCCATAGGTTGTGGGGGAACAGGTGGTATTTGGTTACGTGAGGAAGTTCTTTAGTGGTGATTTGTGAGATTTTGGTGCAGCCATCACCCAAGCAGTGCACACTGCACCCGATTTGTAGTTTTTTATCCATCACCCCCTTCCCGCCCTTTCCCCCTGAGTCCCCAAAGTCCATTGTGTCATTCTTATGCCTTTGCATCCTCATAGCTTAGCTCCCACTTATAAGTGAGAACATACGATGTTTGGTTTTCCATTCCTGAGTTACTTCACTTAGAATAATAGCCTCCGATCTCATCCAAGTTGCTGCAAATGCCATTACTTCATTACTTCTTATGTCTGAGTAGTATTCCATCATATATATATATATATATATATATATACACACACCACAGTTTCTTTATCCACACGTAGGTTGCTGAAGCCCATGTAGTATTGAGTGTAGTGAATGACATGCCTGTGTTTCTTGCTCTGTGTCCAGTTGGTTTGTCTGGTCTCCTCTTTGTTCCTGGGAATGTCCTCTTTTCATGTCATCTCCTGGGTCAACTGTGCATTAATTACCCATTGTATCTCTACGTGGGAAGGGGATGGGGTGCACACGCCTCTGTCCACGTCTTCGTGGTCAGATGGTAGACGCCGGGCCACAGCAAGCATTAGGGAGGCTGTGGGCTTGCCTGAAACCATCACTCTTACTGTGTTTGGTGGAATGGTGTTCTTATAAAATTTATTTTTATGATAACAATGACAAAACACATTTGAAAACTACTAACAAATGCAACAGCCTCAATTGGTAGATGTGGCAATGACAGCTTCTCTAGGACGGGGTGGATCTGTGTGCCTACAAGTCCCAAGCCTGCACCGGAGCCAGCCAGTTCCGGCTGTAGGATTTGCCTTGCCACGCGTGACGTCTGGCACCTGGCGGCTCTTCCCTGCAAAGCCCTGCAGCCTCGCTGAGCTGTAGAACTGCTCAAGCCCTTCTTTTCCAGCTGCCAGGAGGGTGACAGCTGTGCCTGCCCCCGGGTGTCTGAGGACATAGCAAGGGCAGGCCTGGGGCGAGCCTGGTGGGGGAACCCAGGCAAACGTGAGCCATGGCTAGTCACAGTTGGGAAGCTTGTCCTGGGATGTGTGCAGCCTGGTTACGCCAACGTGTACATCAACTCTTGCCAGGGAAAGGTAAAGCTCGGGGCCCAGAGGCCTGGGCTGAATTTCAGCCCAGGGCAGCTAAGCCCAGCTCCCAGCCCCTGGTCCTGGACGTGCCTGCTGTCCATCTTAGCAGGCCCCATAGAGCAAGTAGGAGAAGGAAACGGGCTTGCCAGCAGGGCCAGCTGTCCAGAGGGCATAGGGCAGCCTTCCCATGTGGGCAACGGTCGGCTTACTGGTGCGGAGCTTTCTAATGCCACAGTAGGGCCAGCCAGGTCCCTGAGCCAGGTCCTCGGGCCAGCCCCAGGGCCGGCCCAAGGCCTTTTCTGGCACTCAGCTGGATCAAAGGCTTGGCTTTCAAAGGGGACTCCCTGGGCAAAGGTTGCAGTTTCCAGTATCAGTGGTGACGGGGTCGGGCCTGGCTAGAAGGGCCTGGAGCCCTGCTGGCCACCACCCTGCAAGCCCGCCTGACACCTGGAGAAACTGGGGGCTCTGCCCACCCTTTCCCATGCCCAGGGGTGCAGGCAGGCTGTGCCATGGCATTCTGGGCAGGTGCGTTGAAGACGTTAAATGGGCGAGTTCCCTCTCGGCATGGGGTATAATTAATTTTCCTGAAATAGGCATGACAGCCCAGCAGTCTGCGTGTCTGAGTCAGGCAGTGATTATTACCTCTCACCGGCATGATGCGCCATCGGCCACTCAGAATTCAGAGCACCACAGCTCCCCGGGCCCTGCTGGGGTGGTGCAGGGGGTTCGGGGCTGGCCAGGGCTTGGGAGATGCTACCCCGCTCAGAACCACCCTGCCTGGAGGCTTGGGATCCAAGAGGCGTTTGTGGCTCCCAGGTGTAGGGTTGGCACCAAGGATGGCGGGAAGGTTACAGCAATGGGTGAGGGAGCGGGAGGGTCCAGCAGAGCTTGCAGGGGGTGGCTGGAGCTGCCCTTGGTGAGTGGAGTGGACGGCCAGGTCCTGTGGGGGACGGGGGCGCACCCCAGCACACACCCCGGCAATGCCCCCAGTCGGGGGAAAGAGCCCGGGCTCCAGTGATGTGGGCTGGCCACGGTCGGTAGCAGTGGTCCGAGTCGGGTGAAGCTTGCCTTCGCGTGTTCTGGGCCACAGTGCTGTGGGGTCACCCTCTGGCCCCCACACCGGGCAGTTTCCGGGAGCAGGAGCTGGAAGTGCAGGGCAGGCTCAGCCCAGTGGGCGGTGATGGCTGCCTGGCCCTCCCGTCACAGAGCCTGTGGTGGCTCTGGGCACCCCTCCTACCTGGGACCGAGCTGTTTCTCACCCCAGGCCTTGCTGACCGTCCAGGTCTGGGGTCTCCCGGGGACGCGCTCTGCATGTGGGATCCATCTGTATTCCAGGGTCCCTGCCGTGGCCAGGCTCTCATCCCTAGGGGCTTCTGGTCTCGTTTCTACCCCAAGGAAGCACCCACAGCAGGTGCCCTCAGCACCCTCCCTTCTGCTTCCTGGACCCAGCGACTGGCTTCTCCCCACTCTCCTGATTGCATATGCTCAGAGGCCTGTCCCAGAGGCTTTGGCCACAGTGGTTTATGTCCTGAACGCCACTGTGCCCAGGCCCCTGGGGATGTTCCCCCCTGAGGTTGTCATCGCAGCCTCCCTGCTTTATGGGTCAGGAAACTGAGGCACACGTGGCCGGAGGACCAGAGGTGGGTGGGAGCCCCCGGCAGTGCTCCCGTGATAGGGCTGAATTGTCCCTGCCTGGCACCCAGACAGAGCAGTTGGCGTAAGCAGGGGTGCATGTCTGCCCGTCCAGGGTGGGTGTCGGCCCTGAGGGTGCAGTCGTCTGCAGCTGCAGGACCCCAAGCCCCTCAGATGGGAGATGGTTGGACTCTGGGACGTTCCCCAGACGCAAGGCTGGGGGTGTGGGCCTCTGGATGTAGAGGCTGGCTAGGCTGCCTTCTCCCACCTCCCGTTCCTGGGGCTCATCTTGCTGTGTCAAAGGGTGAGGCCTCATGCGTGGGTAAGGTGGGGAGCAAAGCAGAGATTTTGTCCTCACAGGGGTGCAGATGGGGAAACTGAGGTCTCAGGTTAGCTGGGAAGTACATAAGGGTGTCGTCCTGCAGCTGAGCGGAGTGGCCGGCCCCATCTTCCTCCTTCCCTCGCTGGGCACGGGCAAGCTGTCCCGGTGACCTCACCAAGGCCTCTCTGTCAGCGCACTTCACAGAGGGAGAACTAAAGGTTGAAGCCTTCAGTCCAGATCACAGAGGCGGTAAATGTCCGAGCGGGTCAGACCCTGATGCTGCAGCCGGACCTCAGAGCCCCCTGGGCAGTGACGGGCCTCTAGGGCATCCTGGGTTTTGTTGCCTGTGCTGCCCCCCAGGGCCCCTCCTACCACCAGAGATGCTGCCTGAGAGCGGGGCTCAGCGGGTGGCCAGGCCCCTCTCCCACCCCGCCCCCGCAGGAGGAAGGCCTTGGCGTTTCAAGGTCGGCCTCCACTTTCACTTTCTTTTTAAGAAGGAGGGTATTATGGGTTGAATTGTGCCCCCAAGATGGTATGTCCAGGTCCTAAGCGCTGGCACCTGCCGTGATCTCATTTGAAAATAGAGTCTGTGCAGAAGTCATCAAGTTAAGATGAGGTCATACTTGAGCAAGGTGGGCCTAATCCCTGTGTGACAGGGGTCCTGTCACAGAGACACCTGACAGGAGGGGAAATTGGGACCCAGAGTCACGGGCACGAGGGGGACGGACGTGAAGACGGAGACTGGAGTGGCACAGCCACAAGCCAAGGGCCACCAGGAGCTGGAAGAGATGGACGAGGCAGGGAAGGATCTTCCGCTAGAACCCATGGAGGGTGCGTGGCTCTGCCCACATGTTGATTTTGAACTTCTGGCCTCCAGAATTGTGATGGAATGAATTTCGGCAGCCACAGGAAACTAAGAAGCCCAAACACGCCGGTTCCTATCCGTGAAGGACAAAAGACCCACGCGTTGAGTCACCAGGGCTATCAGGGAAGAGCCTGGGCCGGGGTCCTAGCCCCAGAGCCCAGAATCCCCGCTTCCAGTTCTCAGCTGCCCCGTGGTGTCCGCCCTCCTGCCCTCTCCACGCTCCAGGGCCCTCTTTTTGTAAAGAAGAAATATTTTCCTCATGGAATGACTCCCTCCTCCAACCCAAACAGGATCATATTTCTGCTTTGAAACAGACACTTCTGCTGTGAGTAGCGGCATCTTTAAATAAACACATCCTCCCTGTTGGGGTAGACAGAGGCAGATGGAGAGACACAGAAAACAGCGCGCAGAGCCCTTGCTTGCGGGTGGGATCCGCGACTCCACAGCCTCCCCTTCCCTGCCCACTTCTGCCTCCTCCTCTTTGTGGGGTGCCCCAGGGCTCTCCTCCCCCATGGCCCCCAGAAACAACCTTGGGGCTTCTTATGTCCTGCGACCTCCTCGGAGCTGTTCTGGGGGCTCTTGGCTGTCGCAGCAAGGAGCTGCACTGAAGTGAAGTGCTTTCCCTGGGAGGTGAGGGCCTTGGCAGGCGGGACTCTCAGAAGGCTGGACCCAAGGGGGGACACGGGCTGCCTGTTCCTGCTGAACCCACACAAGCTCCGTTTCCCTCCTCCTCAGGCTGCCCGGAAGCCCCCGCTACGTCCTGGGAAATGGCTCCTGGGTCTCCCCCAGGCTTCTGGGACCTTAGCCTCGCAGGGCTGCTGGGGGTGGGAGGGGCGCCTTGCCCTGGACACGGCGAGGGAAGCCACTGTGAGGGCAGGCTCTGGCTGGGAGGGGCTGCTCCTGCTGGATGGGACAGCGGTGCCAGCCGGGCATGGGGAGGGTTTCAGCAGGGGGCAAACCTCGTGGGGAGTTGGCCACTCAGGGCAGGCCAGGGAGGGCAGGAATGGAGGTGGAAGGCCTCTGGGGCAAGGCAGGGCAGGGCTTACCCCACCCCAACCACAGAAGGGCCTAATCAGGGGTGGAGGAACTGGTGGGCCTGTGTCCGGGGCCAGCCCGGTCCCCAGTGGTGTGACTGGGGCTGGGTGTGAGGCTGTGGTGAGAGGGGCTCATTCCTGGCACGCCAGGTACTGCTCCTGGGCCACAGAACCCAACCTTCCAGCGGTCAGGGTCTAGGCTGCTGATAGGCACTCGTCCTGGCGGCCAGACTCATGGGCTGCGGGTGAGGACCCCAGCAGATGGGTCGGGGCGACCTGGGATGGCGGAGGGCAGGTGGGGAGGCTGTGGGAGGTGCCTGCTGGGAGGGAAAGGACTGTGCTCCGTGCCCACCCCGGGGGCTCCCTGTCATCGCTCCGCTCCCTCTGGCCTACGCATCCACAGGCCCTGCCCGTCCACCCGTGCATTCGGTTTGGTACAAAATCCCCTGGCAATGCTTTCTGTGGGGGCTGATTCTTAACACCCCTCCCCTTCCGCCAAGCAGGCCCTGTGGGTCTGTTGACCGGGAGCACAGAGGGCCTAGCGGACAGCTACACCCCAGGGTGGCCTTGGGCCTGGGGGCCCCGGAGGAGCGGGCTGTCAGCAACTCCCAGCAGCCAGGCCTGTGGGCTGAGATGGTGGCGGTTTCCTGCCCTGCCTCTCCTCCCCTCCGGGGTCAGGGGGCTCCTCTCCTGACCTTGTACTTAGAAACGACACAGCGTCCCACAGAGCATCGCCCTGTGCCTCTGGGGGCCGGGCCTGCCCCAAGCCTCACATGCCAGCCTGGCACTGCTGCTGCCCTCGGGCAGGGGCCCTTTCTGGGTCGGGGACAGGTGGTCTTTCCCCACTTGGGAAAGAGGGAAGTGAAAACCCCAGAGGGAAGTGGTTTGCCCCAAGCTGGCAGAGCGAGTCCGGGGCAGGAAGTCACAGTAGGCAGGGGTGCCGGAGCCGGCGAGAGGGGGCCGGCGGGTGGATGGTCTCAGTTCCAGAGCCTCAGGGGCCTCCAGTGAGGAGCACAGGGCCCCTGCCCACCCTGTGGCCAGAACCCTGGACGCACGTGGCAGCCGCTCAGGGCCCCAGGAGAGCGTGTCGGGGCACCCTCAGGGCAGCACCCCGGCTTCCCGCCCCCTCACTCCCTGGCTGCACCAGGCTCAGCCTTCCGGGGATGGGCGACACTGCCCCTCTCCCGATCCCCACCGCGGGGTGCAGCCTGGCAGCTCCCTGGCCAGACGCAAGGGGACTGTGAGAGAGAGACGTCCGGGTTACTACGCGTGGGCCTGGCCCAGTCAGCCAAGCAGATGCAGCCGTGTGGTCTTGGGCTCTGTGAGCTCGGGAGTTCCCGCACAGAACGCGGGCCTCACTGTCTCCTCTGCCCGCAAATTCCCCGGCATGGGCTGCGCTGCTGCTGCAGAATTACCCAGCCCCAGGACCGGTGCACGGTCAGCAGAGGCCCGGGCCCGCCTTGTGGAAGGCGACATATCGGCAGTGCCCGACCTAAATTCCCAGGCACTGTGGCCAGGTGGGTGGCCTCCCGTGAAGGGCTGGCTGCCCACACCTGGGTCATGAACCCTCACGTCACTCGCGAGGCCTGCACCACGTCGCCGGGGCACAGAGGAGGAAACTGAGCCTCAGGACTTGGCCTGCAGAGAGAGGGGTCGAAGTGTGCCCCCCAAAGCACCCCTCACACCCCAGTCCCCCCACTTCACCCCAAATGAGGTAGGTGTCCACAGGGGAGAGTGGGGGCAGCCCTGGGGCTGGCTGAGGGTCACCTGCAGGGGGTCAGGAGCTGCTGCGGAGAAGGGAGCGTCCACACACATCTGCACACGTGCACACGCACACACGCTCACACTCACCGGCACCGAGGTGCACCGCCTGGCCGAAAGCTGTCTTCCTGTTTACTCTGACCTGGTCCCTACCACAGGCTTGAAGAGCAAATGTTTTTGTCTCCATCGTGCAGAAGAGGAAGCTGAGGTTCAGAGGCATTAAGTGACCCACATAAAGTTGTCCAGCATGTCTGATGGGGTTGGCCCTAGTGACTCCAGGTCAGGAGCCAGAGAGCCCCAGGGGGAGTGTTGGTGACCGGGCGGGCTCCCGGCAGGAGAAGGGCACCTCATGTTGGTCAGCATGAGTGTGGGGTAGAGGTGACCTGGGGGAAAGGTGACCTGGGAGGGAGGTGACCACAGGGAGAGGTGGCCTCTGGGGGAGGTGACCACAGGGGAGGATGACCTGATGAGGAGATACCTGGGGCAGATGACCACAACAGGGACCTGGCCACAGGAGGAGGTGACCTGGTGGGGAGGTGACCTGGGGGGAGACACCCTGGTGGGAGGTGACCACGGGAAGGGGTGGCTTCTGGGGGAGGTGATCACAGCGGGGAGATGACCTGACAGTGTCAGGTTATGTGGGGGCAGATGACCACAGTGGGGAGCTGGCCACAGGAGGAAGTGACTTCTGGGGGAGGAGGCCATAGTAGGGTGGTGACCTGGTGGGGAATTGACCTGGTGGGGAGGTCACCTGGGGGGAGGTGACCACAGTGGGGAGTGACCACAATGACCACTTCTCCAAGTGGCCACGGGAGGAGGTGACACAGGGGGGTGATGGCTTTGGGGGAGTAACACCAGCCCTGCAGAGGAGGATAAGCCCCTTGGGAGGAGGGGTCAGGGAGGAGGAGGTGGCCCACTCTGTGGCCTCGCCTGCAGGGGAGGCCCTGTCCCTGCGCTCCTTAGAACAGACACCCTGGGCGGCGGGCCCCTTCCTCCTGGCCTGCAGGTCGGCCTGCAGTGGAGTGCTACCACAGCCTGGAATCCTCAGTACTGGAGCCTCTGCCACCCAGCTGGGGTCTCACGCTCAGCCCCCGACCATCCCCAGAGGCCAGGCCACCTGTGGTTCTGGGGTCCCGAGGCTCTTGGGAGCCCAAGCTGCTGGTGTGACCTGCTGCAGCTGCTGCCAGCCAGGCAGGGAGAGCTGAGAGCTGAGCTTGCCCTGTGCCCAGGAGGGTGGACTCTGGCAGGACATGGCCCGGAGGTGGGAGGGGCGTGTGCCCGTGTGTGCTTGGGCACGGTACCCGGTCTGAGGCCCGTGTTGTCTCGGGCAAAATGCGCACACTGTCTTGGAGGAGGCGGGCCGGGGACTCCTGCGTGGCCCGAGGAAGCTGAGGGGAGGTAGTCCCTGATGCCATCAGCCTCCTTGCTCCGGAAACCAGGTGAGTGCAGATTCTCCTACCTGGCTGAGTGGAGTCCTGCGCATCCAGTGGAGAGAAATGGAAGTTTACTGCAAACTGGGGGTTCCCCGCAGCCTTGGTTTATGGTTAAATATTACAGAGGCCCCGTGGGAGAGCCAGGCCCCTTCCCTCTGTGGGCCCTGAAGGGGGCCACAGAAGCAACACCACGGTGTGGGGGGAGCACCGTCCCGTGAAGCTCCCGCTAGGCCGAGGGGCTGGGGCTGTGCTCGCCATCCTCGGCCACCAGCCTGGCTTTCGGGTCCCCACACACAGGCAAGAGCACGGGAACCGCATCCTGACCTGCCAGCTCCTCTCCAGAGGCTCGGACCCAGATGGGGCTGGATTGGGGCGGGAGGAGGCGCAGTGGCCAGGGAAGCTCTGGGGCAAATGCCTTCCAAGTGACTCATCGGGGCTGGGTCCCTGAAGCCTGCCATCCACCCCAGCTCTACTCTGCCTGCGCGGCCTGGGAGCGGCGCCTGTGCCCTTGGGTTGAGGACACCGATTAGCAGGCAAGGCCCACACGAAGGTGTCGCCTTCTTCGTCAACTGAGGCCCAGTGTGGCTTCCTGGAGTTGTGAACAGCTCCTGGCCTCCCTGGGGCTCCGCAGCTGGGCCTTCCCTGCATCTCGGGGTGTAAACCAGCCCCAGGAAACAGGCGGAGTGGCTGCAGCATGGGTCAAGGTCAGAGAATCCGGGAGCCCCACAGCCGGCAGGGCTGATGACATGAGCTTCAGGGCCCAGCGCAGAACAGAAACACGGCCGTTGTTTTAAGAGTGTCCGACAGTGACCATGGGCGCTATACCAGGGGCAGGCCCCTCCGAGCCGCGCTGGAGCCTGAGGGCTGACTGGCCGAAGAGCTTTGGTGGGAGGAGCGGGATGTAGCCGTGGCTCAGTTAGGGGCCGGGAGAGGAAGGCCGCGCAGGTGTCCTCTTTGCTGCTCAGGGCCAGCCAGCGGGAGGGTTCGGGGATTTTAAGAGGAGACACTGGTTCTGCGTCCCCCTCACACTGCTGGGAGAGAACACAGGAGGGGCTATTTGTGAATTATGTCTGGTTGCTGTGAGTGTGTGTCGTGGGTGTTTAACCACCTCTCTGCTCCAAGATGGAAAGTGGAGGTGCTGCTCCCACCATCACCCTCTGCCTTCCTGCACCCGCCCCCTCCACTGCCTGTGGCCTGCATGCGGCCCTCATGGCCACTGTGAACTGTATGTGCCCCGACCTGCTCCCTTGCCTCTCCCTGAGGCTCATGCAGTTTTCTTGCCTGGAACCCTCTGAGGGCCTTTGCCTGGAGAGCTGCTGTCATCCTTTAAGACCTGAGTCCTGCCTACCGCCTTATTTCCACAGCACCTCTGCACACCCCTGTCTGCGCACCTATTGTATTAATCCGGCATTACTGCAGGAGTGCTGTCCTATCTGCGGTAGGGAGAGCTCTCTTGGTGCAGAATCCCAACTCAGATGAACGTAAGCCAAAAGGGAGCCTGTTGGCTTATTATAACTATCTCACCCAGGCGCAGCTGCAGGCATGGCTGGATCCAGGACCTCAATAATGCACTCAAAGCTCTGTCTCTCTCCCGGCATCTCAGCCCTGCTTGTCTTTACTTGACTTCATTCAGGGTGTCAGCTCTCTCTCCATGCAGTGGGGGATGGCCTCTGGCAATCCCAGGTTAGCAGCCCTGATGAGAAGAGGCCGTTTTTCCCTTCACTCTGTGGACAAGTCTCCCAGGGACTTCCAATGGTGTAGCTTGGGCTGTGTGAGCTCCCAGGACTGATCACTGCGGCTGGCGAGGGAGCACGCGCCTCCTTATAACAGGATAGGGTCAGCCTATAGAAAAGGGAGACTTATCTGCTGCCTTGCAAAGGGGAGGACGGAGGCTGGGCAGTGTGTGCACCTCCCCAGCCAAATGGGCGAGCACTGTGATGGAGGGTTGTGCATTTCCAGGCTCTCGGTATCCCCAGCCCCTTGCCCGTGCCTGGCGCATAAGTGGACACAATCTTTATGGACCAGTCACCCCGCTGCACCAGGGACTCTTTGACCAAAGAGAGTGGAGCATGTGGGCCCTGGGGACACGGTGTGGTGGCCGGGGTTTCTTCATGCAGCCTCCTGGGCCTTGGCTCTCCCTCCGCTGGTGGCCTGGAGGGACAGGAATAAATTTTGCAGCAGAATTGACCGCGGGGGAGGGAAGGGCTTCCTTGCCCTGGGGCCCTTCTCACAGTTTTCATCTCGCTCAGTTCCAAGTCAAAACCTCTGGCCTGCGAAGCTCATTTGGGAACAGTGGGAGAGCAGATCTGAACCGGACACGGTCACTGGTTGCCTTGGTTATTCTGGGCAGGACACGTGGCGTCAGCCTGGGCAGAGGGGCAGAGCCTCGGGGCCATGGTTTAGGGTCCTGGATCCAGCCCCGTGGAAGCTGCTCTCTGGGTGCTGCCGTGAAGGTGGCAGGTCCCCTTTCTGACTGAAGGTCCTTCGAATCCGTGTTCCAGGCTCCAATCATAGAAGCCGGAGCAAGAGAGCCAGAGCTTTGTAGGAATTTACATGGAAACGCTTTCTGCTGCCTGTCATTGCTAACAGGACCGCCCAAGTCCCGGGGTGGACTGTGAGGCCAAATGAATGTGGTTGCCATTGAGTGGGAGCTTCCTCAGCCTCCCTGCACTGGCTGGGGGTGCATCCTCCCAAGGCCCTCTGTCCCTGAGGGCCTGGAGAGGCCCTCTGCTCAGCAGGGGCTACTGAGCCTGCCCCCACCCCACGAGGAGCTGCAGCGACAGGATTGCAAAGACACCCTAGGCCCCACCTACTCTTAATTGTGGGGAAACAGCACCAACCCCAGTTTGCAGTAGTCGGACGGGTTTCTAGCTCACTCTGTCTGAACGTTTCCCTTCCTAACTCCTTTCTTCATCTTCTCTTTTTATTTACTGGGCTATAAATTAGCTCCTTAAATCAGACAAATACATGCACACTGACAAGGTTTGGCTCTGTCTCACCCAAACTTTATGCAGAATTGTCATTCCCAGTGTTGGAGGTGGGGCCTGGTGAGAGGCGGTTGGCTCATGGGGGTGGATTTCTCATGAATGGTTTAGGACCATCCCCTTGGTACTGTCCTCACAACAGTGAGTTCTCGTGAGATCTGGTCATTTTAAAGCATGTGCACCTTGCCCCCACTCTCTCTTCTCTCTTCCTCCTGCTCTGGCCATGGAAGACACACCTGCTCCCCTGTTGCCTCCTGCCATGATTGGAAGCTTCCTGAGGCCTCCTCAGAAGCTGATGCTGCTATGCTTCCTGTACAGCCAGCAGAACCATGAGCCAATTCAACCTCTTTCCTTACAAATTACCCAGTCTCATGTCTGTCTGTCTTTCATTCTTTCTTTTCTTTCTTTCTCTTTCTTTCTTTCTTTCTTTCTTTCTTTCTTTTTTTCTTTCTTCTTTCCTTCCTTCCCCCTCTCTCTTTCTTTCTTTCCTTCCTTTCTTCCTTCTTCCTTCCTTCCTTCTCTTTCTTTCTCTCTCTCTCTTCCATCTTTCCTTCCTTCCTTCCTTTTTTTTTTGAGATGGAGTCTCACTCTGTTGCCAGACTGGAGTGCAGTGGTGCAATCTCAGCTCACTGCAACCTCCGCCTTCCAGGTTCAAGTGATTCTTCTGCCTCAGCCTCCCAAGTAGCTGGGACTACAGGTGCACACCAGCACACCCAACTAATTTTTTTTTTTGTATTTTTAGTAGAGATGGGGTTTCACCATGTTGGCCAGGATGGTCTGGATCTCCTGACCTCATGATCCGGCTGCCTTGGCCTCCCAAAGTGCTGGGATTACAGGCGTGAGCCACCGCACCCGGCCTTGTGTATTTCTTTATATAATGCGAGAATGGATGAACACACACACTACCTGTCATTGTTTTTCTTAGAATTCTGCAGGCCACGGACATGGCCGAGCAGCTGGAGCCCGGCTGCATCCGTGCTGTCTACACCGGCCTGGGCTGTGCTGTCTACACCGGCCTGGGCTGTGCTGTCTACACACCGTCACCTGCCTGGGCCGTGCTGTCTACACACCGACACCGGCCTGGGCCGTGCTGTCTACACACCGTCACCTGCCTGGGCCGTGCTGTCTACACACCGTCACCTGCCTGGGCTGTGCTGTCTACACACTGACACCGGCCTGGGCCGTGCTGTCTACACCGGCCTGGGCCGTGCTGTCTACACACCGTCACCTGCCTGGGCCGTGCTGTCTACACACCGTCACCTGCCTGGGCCGTGCTGTCTACACACCGTCACCTGCCTGGGCCGTGCTGTCTACACACCGTCACCTGCCTGGGCCGTGCTGTCTACACACCGTCACCTGCCTGGGCCGTGCTGTCTACACACCGTCACCTGCCTGGGCCGTGCTGTCTAGACACCGTCACCTGCCTGGGCCGTGCTGTCTACACACCGTCACCTGCCTGGGCCGTGCTGTCTACACACCGTCACCTGCCTGGGCCGTGCTGTCTACACACCGTCACCTGCCTGGGCTGTGCTGTCTACACACTGACACCGGCCTGGGCCGTGCTGTCTACACCGGCCTGGGCCGTGCTGTCTACACACCGTCACCTGCCTGGGCCGTGCTGTCTACACACCGACACCGGCCTGGGCCGTGCTGTCTACACACCATCACCTGCCTGGGCCGTGCTGTCTACACACCGTCACCTGCCTGGGCCGTGCTGTCTACACACCGTCACCTGCCTGGGCCGTGCTGTCTACACACCGTCACCTGCCTGGGCCGTGCTGTCTACATACTATTGCTGGCCCAGCCTCAGCCCTGGGATGAGTACAGACTACTTTCTTTTGGCCAATCGCAGCTTTCAGCCAGCCCCGTCATACTCCCCTCCTTGTCCCTTACAGCCCCTGGGACAGACTCCCCTGAGTCTGCTCACTTTCTTTTTCTTTTTTTTTTTTTTTTAGATAGAGTCTTGCTTTGTTGCCTAGGCTGGAGTACAGTGGTGTGATCTCGGCTCACTGCAACCTCCGTCTCCTGGGTTCAAGCAATTCTCCTGCCTCAGCCTCCCAAGCAGCTGGGACTACAGGCACCCACCACCACACCTGGCTAATGTTTTGTATTTTTGGTAGAGACAGGGTTTCGCCACGTGGGCCAGGCTGGTCTTGAACTACTGACCTTGTGATCCACCCGCCTTGGTCTCCCAGAGTGCGTTGAGCCACCGCACCCGGCCGTCTGCTCACTTTTAACTGTGGAAATGCAGCCCAGCCCAGCTGAAAGCTCGAATCTTCTGTCCTGCTCATGCTCCCCTGCCCCGGGGTGAGGCTGCTGTCTCTCCAGACTTGGGGTGGGGACAGAGGTGTGCGTGCTCTCCTGCTCGCTCCCCTCCACCCTCTGGGCTGGTACCCTGATGAGCCACCAGCTCTGATGACTCCGACCTCCCTATCCCCACACAGAGGCTGGGGCTGCGGCTGGGTGACTGGCGGGTCAGTCCTGCTCAGCCCTGCAGGCTGTGTGTCTGGGTCTAATGAGTTTCTTAGAATGTGGAGATTGTGCTGGGTGGTGTTGGGGGTTGCTTGGAACCTCTGTCATTTTCATCTGTGGACCTTAGTCATCAATTCCGCTGCTCTAGTAAAATTCCTACTGGAAATAAAACCCTGCACCACCCCCCTCTCTCTGTGGGAGCCTCCAGGATGTCTCTGGGGTCTTCCCCGCCAGCCTCCATAGCTGTATTCATCAGGGTTCTCCGGAGAAACAGAAGCAGTAGGAGACGGGTTTATTTATTCCAGGGAACTGGCTCATGTGATTACAGAAGCTGAGATGTCCTGAGACCTGCCACCTGGAGACGGAGGAGGGCCTATGTCACCATCTGAGTCTGAAGGCCTGAGACCCAGGAGAGCTGATGATGCAGCCGAGTTCAAATCTGAAGGCTGGACAAGATCCCATCAGCTTGAAGACCTTCAGGCAGAGAAAGTGGGCTCTCCCTCCCTCAGCCTTTTGTTCTGCTCAGGCCTTCAAGGGATTGGAGGATGCCCGCCCACGCAGGGGACAGCCATGGACTTTCCTCAGTCCTTCAACTCAAATGCTGATCTCACCCAGAGACAGCTCACAGATACCCTAGAGAACATGCGGCCAAATATCTCGCCACCTCTTCCCAGTCAAGGTGACACATGAAATTGGCCATCACAGCGTCCTGGTATCATTGTATCAGAGTTGGCCTGTGTGACAGTGAGTGATGTCCAAGCCTAGTTCACAAATGGCTTTGTGGATCCCACCTTGCTCTCCCTGGGGTCACTCTGGGGGAAGACAGTCGCCATGTTAGGAGAATGCTCAAGCAGCCTTGTGGAGAAGCCTATGAGGCCAGGGACTGAGGCCTCCCGCCAATAGCCTGTGAGGAGCTGCAGCCTCCACCAATGGCCTTGTGAGGACTGGAGGCCTCTCCCCAGCAGCCATGTGAGCAAGCTTCCTTGGAAACGGATCCCCCAGCCCAGTCGCACGTGCAGGTGTTGCCGTCCTGGCGGCAACCTCGTGCCAGATCCTGAGCCACAGCCACCCCACTGGGCTTCTTCCAAATCCTGGAGCCTCTGAAACTGTAAGATAATGAAGGTTTGTTGTTTTACACTGCTCAGTTTTGGGGTAATTTGCTACATGGAAATAGAAAACACACACAGTCTATATCTGTATGTGTATATGTTTTATATATTCTATATGATATATTTTTAAATAGGGTTTTCTTCCCAGGATGGGATCTTACTGAACATTCTTAAAAACCAATTAATTTTAGACATGCCCAGCTGTCCCACATTTCCATAGAGGAAGGGCAGGAGAATTCTCTAAATATTCTGTGTGTTTTCCTTCAGGCCCAGCGTCCCTCGAGGTGAGGTTGGGACCATGTGACCAGCCATGGCCAATGGGCTCTGAGCAGAAGGACCATGAGTCGGCTTGCCAACACACTCAGAGGTTGCATGCCTCCTCCACAGGCCCCTCTCTGCCGTGGGACCCTGGAGGCATGTCTGTGAGGGCGGCACTAGGAGATGGGGAACCCGGCCCCCCAGTGACCCTGGAGGAGGGCCCTGACAATCCGTGTGCTGCTTGCCCTAGAGAGAAATACGCTGTAGCGCGATTAAGCTGTGAGATTTTGGAGGTTTGCTTGTTACTGCGTCACGTCACGGCCCAGCCTCTCCTGACTCGGTGCAGCAGATAACAATGGCAGTCAAAGCACCACGTTATCTGTTCTGAAGAAAGTGGAACTTTCTTCTGAAAATGCAGGTGGCCTCAGACACTCCGGGAGGCGTTCTCAATCCATTGCAACACTTTGTGGGGGAAATTGCCTGAGTCCCCCAGCTCGTCCATCTCTGCACCGGAGACTGTACGGGGTGAAGGAGGGTGTCTTAGGAAGCCACTGAGGCATCGCCAGAGCCCGCACGGGCAGCGTCAGGCACCCCAGGAGGTCATTTCACATGTTCTACAAGGACATGTTTTCAGCTCTCCAGTTTTCTAGTGGAGGAAACCAAACCTCCCAGGTGGTCAACACAGGCGTTTGCCCCACATGCCACCACCAGGTAGCCACGGGTCTCATGGGTGACTGGGAATGGGAGGGGAAGGAAGAAGCTCTTCTTTTGTGGAATCTGATCACAGGGAACCCTCTCCCGCCCGGGGCTCAGAATCTGATCACAGGGAACCCTTTCCCGCCTGGGGCTCAGAATCTGATCACAGGGAACGCTCTCCCGCCCGAGGCTCAGAATCTGATCACAGGGAACCCTCTCCCACCTGGAGCTCAAGATGGTTTCCTGCAGACCTGGAATTAAACGTCAGGCTCCTGCCTGAGTCGCCGGGACCCCCAGCCTGGCTGACCTCTTCTTGCTCTGCTGAGCTCTCTGCATGCCCCCAAGGCCCTCTCCGCCTCTGGCTCAGCCCTTAGGAAGCCCTGGCAGAGAAGCCCAGGATGGGAGAGGCAAAATGGGGAGGATGAGGTTTGCATTACCTGTAATCCTGGCCAGGCCACAGTACCTAAGTGCTCAAACATGAGCCCAGGTGTAGCTGGGAAGGTGTCCTGCAGAGGAGCTCAATATCCACAATCAGATGATCTGAAGGAGATTAGCCTCGATTTTTCTGGGAGGGACTCATCCCTTCAAAGGAAGCCCTTAAGAGTGAAAACCGAGGTTTCACTGAGAACACCTGCCTCAAGACGGTGACGTGCCCTACTGCGTGTCTCCTGCCTGCCGCCTGCCCTGCAGGTTTTGAACCCCCATGATTGCGGGATCCAATGCCTTAAAATAAATCTCTAAACATATATCCGTCTAGGTAAACCGCCTGTTGTCTAAACATATATCCGTGTATGTAAACCGCCTGTTGTCTAAACATATATCCGTGTATGTAAACCGCCTGTTGTCTAAACATATATCCGTGTATGTAAACCGCCTGTTGTCTAAACATATATCCGTGTATGTAAACCGCCTGTTGTCTAAACATATATCCGTGTATGTAAACCGCCTGTTGTCTAAACATATATCCGTGTATGTAAACCGCCTGTTGTTGTCTAAACATATATCCGTGTATGTAAACCGCCTGTTCTCTAAACGTATATCCGTGTATGTAAACCGCCTGTTGTCTAAACGTATATCCGTGTATGTAAACCGCCTGTTCTCTAAACGTATATCCGTGTATGTAAACCGCCTGTTCTCTAAACGTATATCCGTGTATGTAAACCGCCTGTTCTCTAAACATATATCCGTGTATGTAAACTGCCTGTTGTCTAAACGTATATCCGTGTATGTAAACCGTCTGTTCTCTAAACATATATATGTGTATGTAAACCGCCTATTGTCTAAATATATATACGTGTATATGAACCGCCTATTGTTTTTTTCATGTCAGGAAAGCCGGGACAAATCCCCCTGGTTCTGTTTCTCGGAAGAACGTTGCCTGTTAAGGGGGCGTTTCCACTGCCCTCCAAGGGCTTGGGACTCACTGTGTCCTTTGTGTGTGTCAGGGGTGGGGAGCGGCTCCTGTCCAGGCCTTCTTACCGACAGCTACAAGGCTTGGGTCGGCACTGGCTCCTGCCCTCCCTCTCCAGGCCTTGGGAAGACGCGGTTCTCCTGCCCGGGCTGCCCCTTGAGCACCCATCCCTCCTGGTTTCCCAAGTCTGTCCTGTTCTTGTAATTCCTTTATTAAATGCTCCTTAAGTGATTCAATTTGCATGTAACATCTATTTCCTGCCAGGCCCCTGCCTCCTGCCTGGCACTCCCCGTTCACCCCACAGCCAACTGCCATCGGGATGTGCCCAAGCCTCGCAGCAAGAGAAATCTGGAGGCCACGTTCACCGCCCCTCAGACGCAACCCCAGGGCGTCAGCAACTGGCGAGGCCTTTTAATCAAGCAAACTCAGTCCTGCACTGCACACGGCTTTTTGCTTCCTTCGTAATGGCTAGCATCCATAAGTAATCATCCAAAAGTGCAGTGTGTGAGAAAATCAGAACTGCACGGTCTACTGGGCATTCACCCCAGGTAGCGAGCTCTTAGGCTCCCGGGGGGCAAGGACAGGGAGGAGGAAGGGAGGGAGGGAGGGAGGAAGGGAGGGAAGGAGGAAGGGAGGGAGCAGCCTCCCTTGGCGCTGGGGACGGTGGCTCCATTCTCATGAGGCAGAGAGCTCTGGCTTGGGAAATTCCTGGGCTGGAGGGATTTCCTCTCCTCATCCTTGGAGGTCGTGCTTCCTCCAGAGGAATTGTGGAGCCCCTTCCTGGCTCTTCCCAGCAGGGATCCCCCTTCCCAGTGTCTCCTAGCATCCCCTGAACTGGAGAGCCTCCCCGCTACCTGGGCTGGTCGCTGTGGAAACCGTCTCACAGCTGAGGGGCTGGCTCTGCTGGAAGTGGGAAGCTGGCAGCATTTCCCTGGAGCCCGGCCCAGGGGTTTGGGGTGGGCTGAGCACTCGCCCCCAGGGCTGTGCCACACAGAGGCGGGCCTTGACTTGTTTAGAAGTTTGACATTTCGTTCATCATGAATTGTGCATTAATTTTAATTTTTAAAAGTATTACACTAAAATGTTATTGATCTTGATTTTTTTTTAGCACCCTCCCACTTAAGTTTTGCCCCAAACCAAGTGTCTGGTCCTTCCGGCTTTTTGGGACAAAGCTAGGAGCCGGGTGGAGAGAGGAGCTGGGCTTTGGGGCAGGCAGGCCTGGGCGAGCCCTGGCCAGCCCCGTGCCCCTGGGCAGTGTCCTTCGCTTCCCTGAGCCTCCTGTCCCTGACGCCGGGCAGGGCGTGGGAGGTGTGTGATGCAGTGGGGACCACGTGGCACTCGCCAGCCTCTGTGGTCACTGGAACAAGGCCGTGTCCAGAGGAGACCGACTCCCCATGAGGGCAGGCGTCAGGGCTTTCGCTCCTCACTCTGACCCTGTGTCGGTGCTTGGTGGCCCCACAGAAGCCCAGTAAACGCCAGTCACCAGGAAGGGCCCCACCCACCCATCCCAGACCCCGGAGGTCCACGGAGCAGCAGGAGGGCTGGGCAGTCCTAGCGGCACCAACGGGGCATCACAGCTCTTGTCGTCTTAGGGCCGCCGCTCTGGGCAATGTCCGGGAGGTGCCTGGGGATGGCCAAGGGCTTCTGAAGCAGGAGAGACCTGAAGGCTGGGCTGGGGCTGCAGAAGTGGCCACAGGCCAATGTCATCCCAGAAGGCCCTCCATGGGGGCACTCCTGGGGCCCGCCCAGCAGCCAGGCCCCGGGCCGAGATGCCCGGATCAGGAAAGCCCTGTGGGGTTGGAGACTTCCTCTCTGGCTCTCAGCAACACAGGAGCACGCTGTGCCCACCCACCCCAGGTGTTGGGGTCCCCAAAACCACATTTTGGGGCAACCACATTTTGGTTCCCCATGTGTTTGGAACTTGTCTGAGCATCACCTGCCTGATCCTAGATGTGCAGGACACTTTGTGCCCAGTCTCTGCAGGGTCCCCCAAACGTTGACCCTCAGGGACTTGTTCTTCCCATTTTATAAACTAAGGCAGAGCGGCTGCTCCTCACTTCTCTGCCAGGGCCAAGGGAAGGGCTTTGTCTCATCACCTACCCTGGGACAGGGGTGGTGACTGGTCGGTGACCAGGAGGCCCTGCGTGGTTTGGTGACTTGCCCACAGTCACCCATTGCAGGCCCGTGTGGAGTCCACCTCTGGCCTCTGCCCTTTGCTACATGAGATCTGTCTGTGGCAGACTCTTCTGGAAACTTGAGCCAGCGGGCCGGAGGCTGCACCCTAAACCCCCGGCTGTGCCCCTGGCAGGCAGGCGGGAGACAGCAGCAACCAGCCCATGGGCTGTGGGCATCCTCCAGCCGGTGTCCCATCTGCCCTGCAAGCAGTGCCTGGGCTCAGAGCAGCCCACAGGACACTGTCCAAGATGCGCAGACCCCGAGGGCCAGAGGGACCGGCTCTGCAGGAATCCCACCTCCTGGGCCCACTCCGCACAGAGTGTTCTGCAGGGCCTGGGAGAACCAGGCACCTGGCCAGGACAGCCTGTGGGTGGGCAGCCGTGTGCACAGATACACACACACGTCAGGGACAGACACACACACACCAGGGACACACACCACACACACCAGGGACGCACACCACACACACCAGGGACACCCACACACACCACGGACGCACACCACACACACCAGGGACACCCACACACACCAGGGACGCACACCACACACACCAGGGACCCCTGCACACACCAGGGACACACACACACACACCGGGGATGCACACCACACACACACCAGGGATGCATACCACACACACCAGGGACCCACACACACACCAGGGACCCACACACACTCCAGGGACGCACACCACACACACCAGGGACCCCCGCAAACACACACACCAGGGACACACACACACCAGGGACACACACACCACACACACACCAGGGACACACACCACACACACCAGGGACACACACCAGGGACAGACACACAAGGGATGCACACACACCAGGGACGCACAGCACACACACCAGGGACCCATACACACACCAGGGATGCACACACATCAGGGACACACAAACACCAGGGACGCACACCACACACACCAGGGACACACACCACACACACACACACCATGGACACACACACCACTGGTACACGTTGTGAACACACCATGGACACACAGAGAAACACACACAACATGGGTACACACAATACACACCACAAAGACATAACCTCCCCACACACTCACATACATAACACACATACCAGAGACACATGGTTACACACAGCACACACTCCCTCATCAGACACCCACACACCATCTCACACACACCACACACCCATCAGACACCCACACATCATCTCACACACCACACACTCACCAGACACCCACACATCATCTCACACACACCACACACCCATCAGACACCCAACATCATCTCACACACACTACACACTCACCAGACACCCACACATCATCTCGCACACACCACACACCCATCAGACACCCAACATCATCTCACAGCAGTCATATGCACAATTAGAGGTGATTTCATACATACACTCACACACCTAGCAGCACTCTCTGTCAAAATACACCCTCGCTGACATCACACCCATTCACACCCACACACACATTCTCCCATACACTCACAAGTAAGCACACTCACACCCACGCACACATCCAGGATGAGGTTTTCTCTTTAATGAGGAGCTGTGTTTCTGCTGTCACCCCTGCCCAGGTCATGCACCTGTCCAGGTTCTACGGGACCTGCCTACCTGGGCACAGGTGGGCCTGTGTGGCCTCTCTGCCTGGCCCCGGCTCTCGGGGGTGCCAGGGAGTGCCCAGTCCCGCTTCCCTGATGGGCCTGTGTGTGGTGAGCTCAGGTGAGGCCGGGGGGCAGGGCGGAGCCGGATGGGCCCATGCTGGGCATGATTCCAGCCAGGGGAGGGACACCTGTGTCCCAGCCGAGGCCCAGAGGGCAGGGGCTTGCCCATGGCCACTCAGCACCACAAGGCTCACACAGCTCCTGACACCCCACCTCACTTTTTCCTGAACACAGCCTGGGATGGGTGTCTAAAATGGGTATCTAAAAATTGGCCTTGGCCAGGTGCAGTGGGTCATGTCTGTAATCCCAGCACTTTGGAAGGCTGAGGCAGGCAGATCACCTGAGGTCGGGAGTTTGAGACCAGCCTGACCAACATGGAGAAGCCCCGTCTACTAAAAATACAAAATTAGCCAGGCGTGGTGGTGCATGCCTGTAATCCCAGCTACTCGAGAGGCTGAGGCAGGAGAATTGCTTGAACCCGGGAGGCGGAGTTTGCAGTGAGCTGAGATCACGCCATTGCCCTCCAGCCTGGGCGACAGAGCGAAACTCCGTCTCAAAAAAAAAAAAAATTGCCTTAAACCCCAGGAAAGGACTATCCGGAGTTACTTTATTCCCTGTGTCATGCCCAGCAAGGAAAGGACAGAGGAGGGTGGGCCCGTGCCCTCTGGAGGGACCCTCTCTGAGGTCCGTTCTGGGTGGCGCTCTCTCCTCTCCTACTGCGCGGGGCCTCAGGAACAAGGCTCGGGCTGTAGCTGCTGGGGCCCGGGGGTCCGTGGGTGGGAACAGTGGGCACTCTCGCTAACACTCCTGGGGCCAGCCCATGAAGAGCTCCGAGGGAGCCTTTCGAGGCCCACGCGCGTTCTGCTGTGTGCCTTTCACGTCTTAATTCCCGGTGCCCTTAGCAGGCTGCGTTCGGAGGGCTGGGCTCCCTGCCCGGGGCTTCCCTTCCTATACACACAGGGCCCCTGCCCTGGGCCCAGCCCCCAGCCTCCTTCTTTCCTGGCTCAGACGATGTCCCCGACGTCCCTGAGCCTGGCGTGACGGGGACACAAAGGCCTGGCATCCTGGATCCCTCCCTCCCTCCCTCTGCCGGCCTATTTCTCAGAGCTTTCAGTGCCTGCGTCACCGTCACCGTAGGGACTTAATGACGTTTAGCAGCTCCCGGGCGGGTGGCTTCTCGCGCTCTGCAGGGGTGACGGTGCCATTTGATTCAAGGGGGGCTCAGGAGGGGGACGGAAGTAGCACTGCACCAGCCACACATACGCTGGCTATTGGGTCCTAGTCACACCTGCTCTGCCCCCTGCCCCCTTCCCCCTCCCCAGTCCCGCGGGGTTTCTCAACAAGCCAGGGGACCACACTCTGGAGACTGAGAGCCGGTGCCTTTGTCCCATGGAGCCAGTGTTCAGTTGCTCCTTGTCCCCTCCCGGGATCCTCACTATCCACACGGCTTGTTGCTGGATAAACAACGGCTCCTTTCTTTGGAGGCTCGGGGGAGGGGGGGCGGGGCCACGGTCACTGAATGGGGCTCCCACCTGCCAGAGGCGCTGGGCCCTGGACAGGAAGTGTTCTGGCAGCTGGTGTGAGTGGTGTGAGTGGTGCAAACTCCACAAAAGTGTGTAGCCCAGTCCTGTTTCCCACCTGACGCTCTCTACCCGGCAGCCTCTCTCCCCACCCCAGGCACCCTCCCCTTGTTGGCACAGTTTGGGGGGCACAGATACCCAAACTGTATCTAGTTGGGGTTATGGGATGACTGTGCAGATGGCTCATGGTCACTTATGGGTACCTCACAGCTGTCCAGAACAGGAATGGCTTCCGGGAAACTGCCCCTGCACACCTGCAGGGTCAGAGGTCGTGTCCGGGCAGTTTCAAGTCCGAGGAGTTAGGAAGAGACAGGGCTTGGGAGCAGAGCCGGGGGCTCCTCTGTGGAAGGTTCTTCCAGACCCACTAGCTCATGTAAAAACAAAACAAAGCACCTCGCGGAATTCAATTATCCCAAAAATACACACGATACTATCAGTAAGAGACTTTTCTATCAATACTTAAAAGTAAATTTTGGCCAACAGTGTGTGTGGTAGAGCAGGGAAGTCCGGGAAGCCTCCGGAAGGATGGAAGGAGAAGGAGAGAAGAGGGGGTGGGCGTCTCCCGGAAGCTGGAGCCAGGCAGAGGGTGGGGAGGGGGCTTCTCCTAGCCTGTGTTCTCCTCGGCATCCCTGGTGGCTTGGGGCTGGGGAGGGACACCCAGCTCCTCCCGACCGACGTCTATGGCTTCTGGTGCTCCACTCTCCTCTCGGACAGCAGCAAACATTTAAGGTCCACAGAGCTTGTTTTCTTAAGGCCCCTTAACTTCAGCCAGTCATGGCTTCTCCAGAGGAGGGGCTGCTCTGGGACGCTGGGTGCTCCTGGTCCCCCTGCCCTCTACGTGGGTCCCCCAAGGGGCCTTGCCAAGGGGCTGGCCCAGAGCTGGGGTGCAGGGGAACAGAGCTGCCTCCACCCCCAAATTCCTGGTGGGATTTCCTGTGGAGTCTCCAAGGACCTCTGAAGTGGAAAGCTGTGGAGAGCGAGGCGTCTCTTCCTCTGGGGAAAAAGGCCTTCAGCGAGCAGAGGCAGGTGCGAGTGGCCCATGAACTTCTCCAGTGCTGGGCAAAGTGCTCACCACAGGGAGACAAACCAACCAAGCACCGAAGCCGCAATGGAACTGTCTAGAAATTAATGTGAGCTGGAGCCCATAGGAGGTCCCTGGGCAGGGTTTCTGCTTATAGGGCCCCAGGGAGTGCCGGCAGCTTCTGCAGTGTCCTCGAGTGACCACCTGCCTTGCCACACACCTGGTGTCTTTGCCCTCAAGATGGGAATGTGTGGCCTTCCATGCGAGCCGTGCACTTCTCCCTCGGGCCAGGCCATGGGTCCAGGGGGCAAGTCTGTGTGTCCGTGCCAGCCGTGCACCTCTCCCTCTGGCCAGGCCATAGGTCCAGGGGGCAGGTCCGTGCATCTGTGCCAGCCATGCACCTCTCCCTCGGGCCAGGCCATGGGTCTAGGGGGCAGGTCCGGGCGTCTGGTTCCTCCTTTCTGACCCCGCAGGTGTCCAGGGCAGTGCCCAGTGTGGCGCGTGTCAGGAATGGCTGCTCAAGTGGCTTGGGACAGATCAGATTCAGTGGCTTCTAGCTTGGCACCCACAAAAGCACACAAACAGGCAAACGAACACACAGTTTGTCTGGCCAAGTGCAGGCGGGCTGGGGAAGCGATTCCAGGGCCCTGCCGAGCAGTATCCTGGGGCCCTGCATTGGCTCAGGAGGCCCGTTCAGGCTGCCTTTGGTGGGGCCTCTGGGGCACCTCCACCCCCAGTCCCCAGAGAGGAAGTGGGGAGCGCGGGTCGCTGTCCTTGGGCGAGCACAGCCCTCTGCCCAGGCACGGCTCCTTCTTTATGGACACCCATTCCCCGTGCTTCTTAGTCCGGCTGGGGACATCATCGTCTTGGTGCTTTGGCTAACGCAGAACTAACACACCCTTGGGGCCCGGCAGCACATCCGTGAACCAGAAATCAGAAGCCCGCTCTCGGCAGCTCCGGCCCACACAGCCCACACCGGAAACCCCCAAACACCCACCCAGGCGGGACAGCCCTGACCACACACTGCTCGGCATGGCCCAGTGCAGGAGCATGGGAGGGGGCAGCGGGGACCCCATTTACACAAAACCGAAACACCGCAGGAGGCCACACCGTGAGAAGTCGGGTGGGGTGGCCTTGGCGGCTGGAAAGGGGGTTTCAGCTGCTGGTCATGGTGGGGTGCTGTGCACTATGGCACTGCACCTGCCTGCAAAGACCAGGCCGCCTCAGCTTCCCTGAAAGCTTGAGGAGGGGCAGGTGTCTGGGCCCCAACCCAAGGCCTGTGGAGTTGGAGTGAGTCCTGGGAGGGCCGGGAATAGGATTCCACCAGTGTCCGGGCATTCGTCACCTGCCACCTGGACAGGCCGTCTGCAGAGACCTCAGGTGAGGCTCATCGAATGGCCCCAGTTGACAGACCGGGAGACCGAAGCAGGGTGGTGAGGGGGCTGAGACATCCTGCTGGCCCTGGGGTGTGAGGTGACAGCTGCAGGGAGGAGTGCTTGTCTCCCGGGGGAATGGGGCCTGCAACAATTGCTAAGGGACAGGCCTGTACACAGGCACACACCACACACATGCACATAGCACACATAGGCACACACAGGCACACACGTAGGCACACACATGCATACACGTGCACACAGCATGCACACACACACACACGGAGACCCGTGGTTTTGGTGCCTCTGGCAGGTCCTGGGGGGCCTGTACTTGCACAGTGGGAAAGCTGCTGCTTCTGGGAGGGTTAACGAGACCCCCACCGCCTTCCAGAAGGCCCCGGCGCCTGCCTCTTCTCTGCCACAGGGCAGGCGATGTGCCCTCCCTCATCGCCCCTCAAGGCAACTACCAGTAACTCCAGACAGTTCTGTTCTTTTCCAGCCCTGTGGAGCAAGGGTGCTTGGGGACAACACCTCTGCCCTGTCCCCTCCTGACTGCAGCCTCTGGGGGTGCACCGTGGTGTTAGAAGGAGACAACTCGGTCTTGGGTGGCAAAGCGCTCTCTGTGCCTGCCGGGTGGGGCCCAGGGCTCCCTGGGGTTTCGTGACCAGCAGGAGATGCTCCCCAGGCAGCTTAGGAGCCCTCTGGGCAGAGGTGCCCTGACCTCCCAGCCCCAGAAGGCACAGGCTGTGTGTTCACTGAGGGGTGGTTTCCAGCTGGCCCTGCTACAGCCTCGGGGGCTCCCCAGAAGGGCTGGCACTTCCTCTGCGCCCACTCGCCCTCACCCTAGAATCAGCCGGTGGGAACCTGGGGACTGCTTCCTACTGGGCTCCAGCTTTCCTGCTCCCGCCACCCAGGAGCTATGACAACAACCCTCTTGCCCACACGGTACCTCCAAGTCCTGGCCTGCCCCCCTCCCTCCCGGCCGAGGGAAAGGGTAGCACTTTTAGGAGAGACACTCGCACATTCTCAGCGTCCTTTTGGGGCATAATTGTCAACGGGGCAGAGCTCAGCCCCATTCTCTCTGGACGCAGGTGTGACCCATCCTGCACAAAACTGAGGCAAAGTCCCCCTCCCGTCACACACAGGGCAGGGCCGGGAGAGCCGCAAGTTGCTCCTCAGTCCAGGAAGGGCCAAGGGGCTTCTAGAGAAGGGGGCTCGGGACCCCCACCCCCGAGGTTGGACAGCTTTGAGGGGTCAGCAGGGAGGGCTGCCAGGAGGCTGATCTGAAGCCCCCCAGTGCCGCACAGATGGGGCACCGCCTCAGAGGCCAAAGACTCAGCACCCCCTCAGCCCACCGCCCACCTGCCCTTGAAGCCTCCTGTAGGGTTCAGGTGTGGTCAAGACAGGGACTCCCCGCTTTCATCCCCAGAGACCTCTGCAGCGGGGGGACCTCCTCCAGGTCGGAGATGCCCTGTATGTCCCTGCCCCGACTCCCCTCCTGGACACCCTTTCCTCCACGGGAGGCCCGGGCCGGTCCTGGGACACTAGCCAGGGCCACTCAACTCCAGGCCTTGCCGGACTTTCTAGAGGACATCTAGCTGACCTCCAGAGGATCACCGAGCAGGAAGGTCCCGTACCACAATCTCACTGTGGCCTCAGGCGGAACCTGACTGTCAGGCAGGCCAAGGTGGCTGCGTAACCGCAGGTTTCTCCTGGACTCCTCCTCACACAGGGCCAACCTCACCCCTCCTCCACTGTCCACAGGTGCCCCAGACACCAAAATATTCATGAAGCCCCCTGAGAAATCAAGGCAATGAGAGCGTGGGTTTCACTCCTGGCCTGGGAGTCACCGTCAGTGGCGGGTTGGGGATCTGGGACCCCGAATCTGATTCTGCTTGGGGTCTGTCTCAGAGGCAGCAGCTCCCCGACGTGCAGACCCCAGGCTTCATGCCACTCCAAGCCTGAAGGTCTTTGCCCAAAAGCAGCATGTCAGGACCTTCCTGCAGGACCTCCCTATTTAAACCACCATGCCCAGGGCTCCCGCTTTATTTTCCCTGTAGCTCCATCGCTACTGAACAGGCTTGGCTTCCTCACCTGTGTCTCTAGCGCCCACCTCCCTTCCATCAAGGGCTTTTCCCCCGAGGGCCGTGCATGGAAGGTGCTCAGCAAAGAGTTGAAGGATCATCAAGTACGAGGCTGGTGCCAGCGGGTCTTTGGTTAGGAGAATTGTCATCACTGCCTGCACTGCAGCCAGCAGCTTGCCCAGGTGTGCCTGGGACCCAGGTGTGCATGTGTGCCTGGAACCCAGGTGTGCATGTGTGCATGGGACTCAGGTGTGCCTGGGACCCAGGTGTGCATGGGACTTAGGTGCACCTGGGACCCAGGTGTCCATAGGATCCAGGTGTGTATGTGTGCATGGAACCCAGGTGTGCATGGGACCCAGGTGTGCATGTGTGCTTGGGACCCAGGTGTGCATGTGTGCATGGAACCCAGGTATGCATGGGACCCAGGTGTGCATGGGACCCAGTTGTGCATGGGACTTAGGTGTGCATGGAACCCAGGTATGCATGGGACCCAGGTATGCATGGGACTTAGGTGTGCATGGAACCCAGGTGTGCATGGGACCCAGGTGTGCATGTGTGCATGGGACCCAGGTGTGCATGGGACTTAGGTGTGCATGGAACCCCGGTGTGCATGGGACCCAGGTGTGCATGGGACTCAGATGTGCATGGGACTTAGGTGTGCATGGAACCCAGGTATGCATGGGACTCAGTTGTGCATGCCCCTCCCCAACAGGTGCACAAGGGACCCAAGTGTGCATGGGACCCAAAACTGCTGGTGACTGGGACGGCCCTTGGCTCGTCTGCTGGTTTCACTGAGGAGAGGCTGCTGCCAGAATCCTGCGGCCAGGTCTGGGGGTGGCTGTCAGGCCATCCCCTCTGGCCCCAAGGTTGGTGGGGGTGACCTGAACCCTCGACCACTGTGCACTCTGTCATGGGAGGGCTTGAAAACCTTCAGTGCCAGCTCTGTTTGCAGCAGGCCTGATGGCTGCCATGGCTGTGTCCTCTGGCAGCGGTGATCCTAAGAAAGGGCCCTCTCAGCTGGGCACGGTGGCTCACGCCTGTAATCCCAACACTTTGGGAGGCCGAGGCAGGCGGATCACGAGGTCAAGAGATAGAGACCATCCTGGCCAACATGGTGAAACCCCATCTCTACTAAAAATACAAAAATTAGCTGGGCATGGTGGCACGCGCCTGTAGACCCAGCTACTTGGGAGGTTGAGGCAGGAGAATCTCTTGAACCCAGGAGGTGGTGGTTGCAGTGAGCCAAGATTGTACCACTGCACTCCAGCCTGACGACAGAGCGAGACTGTCTCAAAAAAAAAAAAAAAACCACAAAAAAATGAAAGGGCCCTCTCAGCTGTTGGGCCGGCCTCTGCCAGGCCCTGCACCCATGACTATCTCTGCCCCTACCTGGGGCTGCTGGAGGGAGATGGCCTCCTCCTAATGCAGGGAGTGTGTCCCTCCTTGTGGAAAGGACCACGGCCTGGGGGCCATCTGGAAGTTGAGGAAGCCTTGAAGGGTGGGGGGAGGAAAGCTGGTTTCCACCCAGCGGAGATTCCGGAAACGGGAGGGTGGCGGGTGACCTTTACATAGTGGAGATGATGACTTGAATAACACCCATCACCCTGTTGCCACTGGCGGGACTTAGAAGGGGCCCTGAGCGTTCATTGGCTACCTCAGTCTCTTATGCACATGGAAACTGAGGCAAGGGGTCCATGGACACCCTTCCCGTGATCCTGGGTTGGTTGCTGTGCGGAGCCTGCTGACCTGAGCCCCTCCTGTATTCGCTCGCAGCACCTGCAGGGGCCTGGGGTGTGTCCCTGACCTCCTGCTGGGACAGGAGTCTCGGAATGATGTAAACACATTCCCTACCCTCAGGGAAAGGGAGGGACAAGAACCCCAACAATCCTACCATACAGGAGGTGCACAGGGAGCTGCGAGGTGGGGCTTTCCCAAGGAGGCCCTGGGAGCATGCAGGTGGAGTAGGGGGCAGGGCAGATCTGCCTGCAGAGCTCAGAGGAGGCAGGCGGGCTGAGCCGGTGGGCTCCGATGGGGACTGGGTGACAGAGCGGAGGGAAGGGCCCGCAGGTGCCTCATCCCTGCAGGAGGTGGGCAGATGACAGTGGGTTATGGAGGAGCCAGTGAAGCTTGTGGGGCTGGGGAGCTGTTGATGCGGAGGGCCCCTCCTCAGAGTCCAGGCAAGGCCCGTGGGCTTCCTGCCCTTACTGGCACCAGGGCCAGGTACCCAGGGCTCGGCACCAACCAACCATGATAGTGAGGAAGTCTAGGGGCCTGGGCTCACCCCCGGTCACTCTCCCAGCACCTGGAGGCCTTTGGCATGGGGGACGAGTTGGGGAGGCCTCTCTTCTCTATGTTGGGGGCTGAAAGCTCGTGACCTCGAGAGGCATGGCTCGGGGGGTTCCAGCTGCCTCTGCCCCCTCTCCCTCTGACCTGGATGGAGCCTAATCCCGCTGACCTCAGTGCCTCTGTGGGAGGCGGTGATGCCTGTGCCAGGCGCTGTGAGCGCCATGTGGCACAGTGTGCAGGTTTGCCAGGCTAGTCCCTGAAGACACCCATGGCAGCCTCCATTCCTCATCTCCCCAGCTGGGCGTGGGGCCTGGGAGTCGGCCGCCTACACAGGACCCTTCACTAGACGCAAGCTCAGTCTCCAAGCCACCAGTACGAATCAATGCTGAGGATCGTGCATGGGGCTGAGACTGGCCCTAAGGTGGACGGTCGGTGGGCGGCCCTCCCCAGGGGTCCCCACCCTGCCTGAAAGGGTGACCCTAAAGACAGAGGGTGCTTGGGGCCTGGGCCCTCGGGATCTCCCCTCTTGGCAGGTGTCCTCTCCCCTTTTGAGCTTCTCCACCGTGGTGTGACACAGCTGGGAAGCCCTCAGTGGGAGTCAGGGCCACACCCTTGAACTTCTCAGCCTGCAGCACTGCGGGCTCAATAAACCTCTTTTCCTTATAAATTGCCCAGTCTCAGGTATTCCTTTATAGCCAAACAAACCAGACTGAGACACAACCCAATGCACGTCACGTGCCCTGCGTGGTGGGGCTTAGGACGCTGGGCCCAGCCAGAGGCCCAGGACAGCCCACAGTGGCTACAGCATTCCCCAAACTCAGCTTCATCACCCCCGGAGCAGGCTGGATTCTCTGTGACAGAGACCACAAAGGGTGCCTCGGGGGCAGTGGGAACACTCACCAGGAGTCAGTGGACACTCAGATGACATCCCTGTGTGGTGGCTTTATAACCTGATCTCCAGGTGGTCAGTCCCGGCTTCTGGGCTGACCCCGGCTCCAATTCACTCCTCCCATTCATACGTTATTGCGAGCATCATGAGCTCTAGGCCCGGGGACACAGCGGGAGACCCAGCACCCCTGAGCATGTGGATGGCCAGGATGTGTGCTGAGGCCAGGGGTCAGATGCACGGCTGTGGAGGTGCCACCATAGACAGTGGGGCCCTTGCTGCATGGGAGGGTCACTGTGAGACACCGCTCCTCACCAGCCACCATGGGCACATGACCCTGGCTGAAACCCTGGCCACCTCCAGCCACCTCTGCCCCAGGCATCAGGAAGGTGCTTGTGTGTCCCATGAGGGAACAGATGGACATAGCAGAAAGAAGGGAGCCGGCCATGTGCTCCCAGCAAAACCCAAATGCCCGGTTCCCTCTCTGCTCCTCTCTCGCTCCTCTCCCACTCCTCTCCCAAACTCTATAAAATCACAGACAGGGCCTCGAAAGGCAGAAATCGGCACAGAAGGAGGGAGACAGGAGGATGGCCCAGGAAGAGCGGATGGTGTTGGAGAAGCTGCTCTGTGGACGGGAAGGTGAGGCGGATGTCCTGGCTGGGGGTGCTAGGTCCTTGCCTGGGGTGGAGCAGGGTCCTCCCAGGGCAAGACTCGCACACCACCCACTGCTCAGGAGCTTGGGTGGGCGGGGGCCGCAGGCCACTTCGCAAGGAGGCCAGATAGTCTCCTTTACCCCTTGCCCCAGGACAACGTCTCCTTTGCCCACTCCAACAGAGGGGATGGTCACTCTGAAGAGGTGACCGCAGAGTGCGGGCAGGGTGGCGGGGCGACAAGAGCCCCCATTGGAGCCAGAGGGTGACCTCTGCACATGCTGGTGGTCCTCCTGGGAGCTGGTGCAATTTGAGCCAAGTTTAAACCCCTGGAGTACTGGAGCATCCCTCTTGGGAAAAGCGGAGGGACCAGGAGTGAAACACTCAGCAACACTGGTGGTGGAGGGTCCCCCAGAGAGATGACCCCAGGCAGCAACTGTCAACCCCATCCCAGGCAGCAGCTGTCAACCCCATCCCCTGACTAGATTCACCCTGTGCTCAGAGCAGCCCAGTTGCCTTTTGGCAGCCTCCTCTGAACTAGAGCCGGATCCCAGGGCCAGCAGGCCTGTGAGGGGTCCCCAGCACAAGACAGGGACCACAGGAAGCCGAGGAAGACACACGCCTGCCTGGGGAAGAGGCACAGACCCTTCACTGTAAGAGCCCTGCCTCTGGGCACAGGAGGGCCAAGGTGAACTCAGGTTGCTGGAGCTGGAGCTTTCTCCTTTTGCCTGTATGCGGGGTGAGCCGCGGCTGCCTGGGTCATGGCCTCCTACAGATCCTAAGAACGGAGACTCCAGTGGGGTCCTCCATGGGGTGACAGAGAAGACACCACAAATGCCCGGCTCAGTTTGAATTTCAGACAAACAGCAAACACCTTTGTAGTCTGAACGCTTGGCCCGAGCAGGGGCCAGGTGGCCGGGCTGGAAGATGTGGCTGAGGGACTGGCCCCAGCAGACGGTCAGTGGGTCCTGAGCCTGGGTGGGGCAGGGTCAGGGGCCCCGCTAGTGGGGTGTGCTGGGCCAGGGGCTCCAAGGTCTGGTGCAGAGCCCTGTGGGCCCAGGCCTGAGGACGACGGAGCCCCAGGGTCCTGGCATCTCACGGGCATCAGTCCTTGGATACATCTCACAGGAACTTCGGATCTTCACTGAAAGCCCCTCCTCCCCCAACCACTTCCGTCCCCAGCAAACACCACCATTTGTCAAGGCTCTTAAACCTAATTGGAGCAAGTCTGGAGCTTGTCCCAGGCTGATGAGTGGCCAGGCCAGGACTTCAACTCTTGACCACGTGGGAGAGTTGACATGAAACCCAGGTTTCCAGCTCTGTCTGGAAAACTTGAAAATCCAGAAACGTTGACTTTTGCATTACTCTTATGCGGCCCCATTTCGTTTTTTCTTTGACTGAAGAGGGTGAGTGAGGAGGAGGGGGGCCCAGCACAGAGCAGAGCCGCCTCCCGCACAGCCTCCGTTCCTGTGGTTCACGTTGCTGGTGAGCAGGTGACCTGGGCGGTGGCCTGAGAAGCTGCCAGGTTTCTCAGTAAAGTGAGAACCAAATTCCAGGCCTGGTCCTGACCAAAACATGCGTCATGGCCAGAGACGTGTGCAAGCCCTGGCAGCTCTGTGGCTCCGGGCAGCACCACACCCGGCCGGCGACCGGGACGTGCCATTGGCTCATCCCACGGTGCGGCTCTGGGGCCGCTCTTTCTAGCCGTCAGGGGTCCCTTCTTTTTGGCTTCACCTGGCTCTGAGGGTTTGGTTTCCGCCTTTCAGAGGATGAAATTCAGCAGAGGTATTGCCATCTTCCTACCGATGCTCAGATAGACAAGGTGAAACAGGGAAGCGGGTGCCGAAGCCCCCGGGGGAGGCCCAGACACACTCATTCACCACAGGCTGCCCGCACTGTGGGTGTAAGCCCCACTGCTGTCATTCACCACAGGCTGCCCGCACTGTGGGTGTAAGCCCCACTGCTGTCATTCACCACAGGCTGCCCGCACTGTGGGGGTAAACACCACTGCTGTCCTCTGAGGGGTCCCTGCCAGACTCACCTCCAGCTGTCACCATGCCTCTCTGTCCTGGTTCCCTCCCCAGACCCCGTTCCCCAGAATGCTCTCTCCTCCTCCCCTTGTGCCCTGAATGATCCCCCAACCCCTCCCCACCTCCCGCCCTGGCTAGGCCTGGGTCTCTCTCATCTCCCGAGGTCTGGCCAGGGGGTCAGGGAGATGGGGCCTGGAGCTGCTGGCCCTGGTGTGGTTCCCTGGTGGGCCACACTGACCTTGTTGCCTGGTGGTGGGGACAGGCAGAGGTGCAGGAACAGCTCCCCAAGCCCTGAGACCCAGACCTCCAGCCCGGTGCAATAGATACCCACATGGCAGGGGGCGGAATGAATACGCAGAAACCTCTTCCCCTACCTCCACACCCAGAAGAATTCCCTTATTTTCTAATTCATAGACGCCAGCTATCTTCATAGTCCCTGAATTATTAAGTGGGTTGTAATGGCCTTTGTGTTTTATTCATTATGTTTCTTACGTGTAGTGAGCCTCACACACCCCATCTCAAGAAGTTGTTTGAGGGACGCTGATGTTTTAATGGTTTGGGGGGTTATTCATACACTTGGCCCCTCCATTGCCATCCCAAGCAGGGTGGGCCACAGCCTCCTTAGGAGATGAGGGTTGAATGCACATTCCCTTGTGTGTTCTGCGGCTGTCTGGGGACACCCACTGTGGTCCAGGCACCTCCAGAAGTGTTGGGGATCCCACGGTGAGCAAGCCACATGCAGGCGTGGCCCATGCAGCACTCACAGGCCAGCCGGGCGACGGCCACGTCAAGCAAAGATGCAAGCTGGCGCCCGGTTGTTGTGGGAGTGTTCAGAAGGACACCCCCAACCCCATCTCTATGCAAGCATCCCTGGTGCCAGTGTGCATCCATTCCTGGAGGGCTGGCCTGGGCTTCTGTCACCCACTCAAATCACCCCACAATGGAGTGTTTTCCTGGATCACCAATTCCTGGTTTGGAGGTGTAACCCAAAAAATATCAGAGACAGGTCTCAATCAATGTAGAGGCTTATTTTGCTATGGTTAAGGGCCATGGCCTGTGACACAGTCTCAAGAGGTCCTGAGAACATGTGTCCAAGGTGGTTGGGGTGCAGCTTTGCTTTCATACATTTTAGGGTACAGAAGTTGCAGGCAAAGATATCAATCAATACATGTAAGGTATACATTGGTGTGACCCAGAAAGTGAGAGGCTTCCAGGTTATAGGTGGATTCAAAGATTTCCTGATTGGCAATTGGTTGAAAGAGCTGAGCTTTGCCTAAAAAGTTTGAGGTCAGCAGAAAGAGATGCTTGAGTTAAGACAAGGGGATCGTGGAAGCCAAGGTTTTTGTTATGTAGATGAAGCCTCCAGATAGCAGGCTTCAGAGAGACTAGATGGCAAATGTCTCTTATGGGACCTTAAAATGTGTCAGACTCTCTGTAAAAGACCTATTAAGGGCAGGGAATTCTCTACAGAATGCAAATTTCCCCCTTAAGAGACAGCTTTGCAGGGCCATTTCAAAATATGTCAGAGAAATATATTTTGGGGTAAAGTACTTTTATTTTTTTCCAGGCCTGCTATCAGTCATGTGATGCTATACTAGAGTCAGGGTGGAATTTGGTGTCTTATTGCTACAAAGAGTCTTTTCTGCCAGTCTTATGATCTCTGTTTTCATGTTAATGCTGGTCAGCTGTGCCTAAACTCCAGAGAGGGAGGAGAGTATTATGAGGCATGTCCAACCCTACCTCTTCCCATCCTGGCCTGAACTCGTTTATCAGGTTCCTTTGGGATCCCCTTGGCCAAGAGTAGGGGAGCCATTCAGGCAGTTGGGGGGCTTAGAATTCTATTTTTGGTTTACAGGGAATACTGTACTAATCCCAAAGGTGATTTCTGGAAGGATAGCTTCTGTGTGCAAATGAATCTGGGGGTTCACAGCGCACATGTGCGTATTAAAGGCCTGAGGAGTCCTGCAGGGAAACACACACAACTCTGCTCACCTTCATGTAAACTGGCATTTCTCAAACTTACTTACCCATAGACTTGTTGTTTAACGTTGCGTTTATTGGCACCTACAGGGTAAGTGTGTGTGTAGTTGCACCCAGTACGCCCTTTCTGGAGAAGCAGAAACCCCCAGGTCACATGGCTGAGGCGTGGCTGCAGCGTGTATGAGGACAGATTGCCGCTGGGGCCCCAGGGGAGGGACCACTGAGTGGGGTTCTCGGATCTGACACACCGTCCCTGCAGATGGCCCCTCAGCGACATGGTGGCCTTCTCATCACTGCTCCGCCAACGGAGGGGAACGGCCTGATGAATCATGCATGATTCATTAATCTTAATTAAAATGCAAACGTATTGCCAACCTTCTCTGATAATTAAAGCCCATTGTGGGAATATGCTTAAAGCTTCTAGGCTGACGTTTCTTTTGCTGAAGCAAAACAGATGACTCTTTTAGCTCTGAAAAGTGGTGTTGAAAGTGGTGCTGCCGGGGGGCGTGCGGCGTGGACAGACAGGTGAGATCCACAGAGAAGAGGCTCCCTGCCTCTCAGTCTCCTCTCTCTTTCTCACGCACGTGCACACACGTGTGCCCTGGGCTCACTCTTCAGCCATACACTGAGCTGTATTTTCCTCAGTGCTACCAGACCCGCAGGCTCCCAATTTGGCAAGGAAGGAAAAACTAATTATGGCTTCATGTCCTGCAAGAAAGAGCCTGCAGCGGCTCTTCAGAAACCTGCCGGTGGGTCAGAAGCACGGCCAGGCCGCCTGCAAACGCCTTGCTGGAAAAATCTCTCTCTGAGCAACTGAGCCGGGTCCTGTGTGCTGGAGGGGACACTGAGAGGCCACAGGGTGGGGAGTGGGCGGGCAGTGAGGCTGGTGACCACCGGCACAGCACCAGGCTCCCACGCAAGGGGAATCCTGGGGCTTTGGAAAAAGTCAAGTCGCAGTTTCACGCACGATCCCCACGCAGCTGTGCCAAGCAGTGCCAAGGCTGTGCTGAGATCATCGGTGTCTGCCCTGTCAGAGGGGCTCGTGCTCTGAGAGATGGAGCGAAAAGTAAACTTTGCCCACCAAGAAAACCTGGTATCCCAACAGTTGTGGAGCTGCTGTGACACCGACTGCTGGCTGCCCTGTGAGGTCCAGTCCCCGCAGGTTTCATCCAAGACCCCCATTCCAGCTGACACAGAGCATTTTAAAATAAAACCCTGTCTTTTCCTGTGTCTTGGCCAGCGGGGCTGCATTCAAGAAAGTACAGCAGCCTTTCCTGACAGCCTCCTCCACGCCTCGACCCTGCAGCCCCTGCCTCTCCCCTGCGCTCCCCCTGCCCTCCCGCCCAGGTCTGTGTTTTCTGCCAGGGCGTCCGGTTCTTTCCTTCTGCTCTCAGCTCTCATCTGCCCCTCATCTTGCCTCACAGGGCTCCAGCTCTGGGCTGACAGTGACGGTAACAGGGACGTGTGCCGATGACTCATCCCGTCCCTCACATGCGTGTGTGTCTAGCCCTTGTCTCGCTGTGCTGCCTCCATCCACATCAAGTGGCACAAATGGAAACGGGTCACCACTGTCCTTGGGATGAGCCTGGTGTCATGGCTGAGTGGTTCTGTCACCAAGTCTTTTCGTGGTTTGCCATAGAGGTGTCTTTCCAGAATCATTTTTTTTTTTATGGACTTGATTGAAATGGGTCAGATTAGCCATGCTCCTGAAATTCTGCCATCAGCCCACACACATGCACACACACATGCACACACGCACACACATGCATGCACACACAGGCAGACACATCACACACATGCACACATGCATGCACAGACACATCACACACATGCAGACACATCACACACATGCACACACATGCAGACATCACACAATGCACACACATGCGCACGTGCACACATATCACACACATGCACACACATTCTCACACATGTAGACACATCACACACATGCATGCACACACATGCACACACGCATGCACAGACACATCACACACATGCACTCACGGACACACACACATGCACGCACACACATACACATGCATACACACACATGGTCACACCACTGACCATACTGGTCTGATTAACTTTTTATTTTAAAACAATTACATATTCACAGGAGGTTGCAAAAAAAAAAATCTAGAGATTCCATGTACCTTTCACTCAGTTTTCCCCTGGGAACATCTTGTGTATCTGCAGCTCGGGACCAAGACCACGCTGTTTCCAAAATGCCCTGGTGACTGCTGGGCTCACGTGGTGGAGGGGTATCCCGGCCTGCTCATGTGGCTTGCACGCTGTGTGTGTCTCTGAAGCTGGGGTTCCCTGAGCCATGGGGATGCCCCCACTCTGGGTCTGTAACTGTGGGATACTCTCAACAGTTCCTTCTTCATCGGGCTCAAATGCAATCCTTGCATCCCAGTGTCTCATCTCTGCCCCTCTTGTCCCCGTTGTCACTGCCAGCACGCACCTCCTTATGAGGCCTGGGCAGGACCCCATCTCTCTGATGAAGGCTGCCACCATCTCTATTGCTGCCTTCGTAAATGTGCTCCTCATTCTGGGCACACTGGAAGTGCTCAAGCACCAGTGAAGCTGAGCACTTCTGAGCGGCCACTGAGGTGCTCCTGGCCAACCTCCCCCCAGTCATCCCCCATGCACTCCTCTCCTCGGCTCTCCTCCCAGTCATCCCCTAGACACTCCTCTCCCTGTTCCTCCCCCAGTCATCCTCCAGCACTCCTCTCCCCAGCACTCCTCCCAGTCATCCCCCAGGTACTCCTCTCTGTGTCCCTGGGGGATTGCTGGGGGGTTACCCAGTTTGGGGTGGGATGCAGGGTGGTGGTGTGAGGGGTAGGAAAGGCTGGGGGTGAGAGTGAGTTCCGTGCAGGGGGGTGACAGGAGCCCCACCTGGGGCCAGGTCCCTGTAGCCTTGCAGCTCCAGGGGCCGCTGGCAGGGGCCACCTTGAGAGGAGGAGGCCCTGATCCTGTTCCCTTCCTCAGCCTGGAAGGCCTTGGCCCTCCTGCTCCAATTCCGGGTGGAGACACCCCTTCCTGTGGCTCCCCTGTGCTCTGAGGCCCTGGCCTCCAGGGGCTGGCTCAGCACTCAGACACAGCCCTGGAGGGCAGCAAGGAACCCCCTCAGGCTGTTTTGCACGGGGTTTGTGACAGGGGACAGTGACCGAGAGAGCTGGGGAGAGCCGTGCCCAGCTGTGCTTCCGGCCCTGAGATCGGTGCCAGTTCCCCACAGCTGCTGCAACAGACGGCCACAAATGGGGTCATTTACAACAGCAGAAACGTGTCCCGGCTCCGGCTGGAGGCCAGACGCCTGCGATCAAGGTGCGGCGTGTCGAGCCGTGCTCCCTGCAGGGAGGAATCTGTTCCTTGCCTCTTCTGGCTTCTCTGTTGCCAGCAGCCCTTGGCATCTCTGGCTTGCAGAGGCATCGCTCTAGCCTCTGCCTCCAGCTTCTCAGGCCTTCCTTCCTGGGCCTTCACGCAGCTTCCCTCTGCGCATCTCTGCGTCTTTCCTCCGCTTACCAGGCACCAGTCGCACCGAATCAGGGCCCACCTCTCTCCAGGGTGACCTCATCCTAACTGACATCTTAATACACCTGCAGTGACTCCACTTCCAGAGAAGGTTGCATTCATGGTTGTGGGGTGCAGGCTTCGACAGATCATTTTGGGGACACAATTCAACCTGCTCCATTTGCCCTTTGTGTCCTCTGATGGGCTGAGAAACGTGCCCAGCTGGCACCAGGCCCAGGGCCCTGAATCCCCAGGAGTCAGAACCCCGGGCCGTACCCTGGTTCTGCCTGTTGGGGGATCGTCCCTTCAGTGATCTGGGGATCTGTGCCTGGTCTCCGCATGGGGTGCCTCCCGGCTCTCACAGTCATGGAACGTCAGCACCAGCACCTTCGCTGCCCTGCTGTGCCCATTTCCCAGCGAGGACACTCAAGGCGCGCAGGTGGAGACAAGGCTTTGGGCCCTCGGCAGGATGGTGGCAGTGCTTCGAGGGGCTGCAGAGGCACAAGTCCAGCCTCCATGTCGTGCTCAGAGGGCAGAAAGCCAGGGTCACCCCAGGCCCTACCCATCCGACCTGACGCGTGCCCACCACTGGCGAGCCGACCACAGAAATGTGGCTTCTAGATGTAGTTTGGAAAAGTGTTTTTGAGAACAAATCATGCAATCACTGATATTTGTGAAGATTTAAAAATTAGAATAAATATGTGCTATTTTATTAATGAACATAAATTTGAATATTTAGGGAAAGATGCATTTTCAAGGACTTTTCGGGCATATGCTTTTTAAAAATAGACTTTTTTTAGAGCAGTTTAGGTTCGCAGCCAAATTGAGCGGAAGGTACAGAGATTTCCCATACACTCCCTGCCCCCACACACGCACAGCCTCCCCCACTATCCACGCCCCCACCACAGCGGTGCAGACTTTACGACAGATGATCCCACATTGACAGAAGGCTTCAGAGTGAGTGTTGGGCATTCTAGGGGTTTGGAGAGACGTGTGATGACCTGGACCCTCCGTGATGGCGTCACGCAGAGCGGCACTGCCCTGAAACCCTCTGCGCTCTGCCTGTTCCTCCTCCCCCAGCCCTTGGCAAGCACTGATCCTTCCTCTGTCTCCACAGTTTAGGCGGATGTTTTTTAATGAAGCAGTTGATCTGAAAGCAAATGAAAAAAGCCAGGAATAGAAAAAACAAAAAACAAAGGCAAGGCTCTGTGGGATGGCCCCTGGGGGAGTGGGGCGGGGTCTGTGAGGACATCACCTCCGCGTGGTCTCTCCACGCTGTGCTACCCTGGGCCACCCCTCCTGACCCTAAGAGCGCCAGGGTTGGTGTCTGTCTGTGGCCCCACAAGCCCCAGGGCAGCATCTTACTCAGGGGAAACGTGACTGGTCTTCCTTGAGCTTCCCAATGCTGGAGCCCAGCTGGCCTCAGTGCTGGCACCCATGGGTGCTCACGAGCTATGGCCATGAAGGCCCAGAATGGCCGTGGCCTCAGCATTCCTCTCTCTGCATCAGTTACCTCTTGGCCAATTGCCTAGGGGCCCCCCCACTCCCACAGTGCAGTAGCCTGCTCACCCCAAGGACAGGTCAGACCCAGGGCCAGCCTGACCCTCAGCGTCTTCCTCTGGATGCATTACCCTCCACCTCCTTCCACTCTTCCTCCTCCTTCTCCAGGGACCTCACACTTGGGCACTGCTTGGTCTTCAGGTCCGGAGGTTGGACTGGCGGAGAAGCCAGGCCCGGGAAGTCCTAGGTGCTTGGGAATTATTCAGGAGCAGGAAAGGCCTTTGTGGGGTTCCTGCAGCCCCACTCCAGTGACTTTTCAGGGGGCTTCCTCAGACTGTGAGAGCTGAGGGCGGTGTTGTTACCAGCCTGAATGCAGCCACCTGATGTCCTTGAAAGCCCACTTGCTGTACCAGGGGTGACTCTGTCAGTGAGATGCTGATTAGAGGACACAGGCGTTTCCTCTCGATCAGGTGAGGCCCAGCTGGGCTCTCCTGGCCAGCAGCCAGGAGCAGGAGACTTTGCTGCCTGTCGGGACTTCTGGGCGCCAAAGCCGCAGGCTAATGCCGCCTGGTGGGCAGTGAACCCTGGGCTCATGAGACCCCAGCACCGCCACCCTTGGCCTGAGGCTCTGCAGTGTGGCCCTGCCTCTCCAGGCTTCGTCAGCACGGGGTACCTTCTCGAGCCACACTAATAGGAAACTCACCACAGGACTCACGCGTTGGCCCTGAGAACAATGGCTTGTGCCGCCGTAAAAGGTTGTAATGGACAAAAAAATAAGAAGAGTGTGTGACAAAGGCTGCAGGAGGCCCTTAAAGTCCAAGGTAAGTAGGAAATGAGACACCAGGCCCTTTACGGAAACAGGAGTGGCCAGGGAGCCCGCAGCTCTTTCTGCCTGCCCGGCTTCATTCTGTCGTGGGCTTATCCCAGCAGTGGCCCAATGCCCGGAGCTCCAGGCATGTCTGTCCCAGCAAAGGGTGCTACCCACTTCCAAGGTTCTGGAAAGGTCCCGAGGCCCCACCACAGTCTGAACCGGGCCAGAGGATCAGGGCCCCTGAGGAATGCTGTCTCTGTGCCTCTGAGCATCAGGGACCAGAGCCCTAGAGCCCACCAGCACTGGGGGGCGTGGGAGCTGCCAAAAGAAGGTTGGGGTGCTGTGCCCATACAAGGGGGAATGGAAGCTTGGAGAACTGAGGTCAGCTGTCCTCCAGGGCAGTATAACCCCCCAGGGCCGGTGTGGGGCTCAAACACAACCATGGAGCTGTCCACTCCTAAACGGGGCCTGACAATCACAGGATGGCAGATGCACGTGTGCTTCGCCTCTTTCTGCTGTAAAAATGCCCCTTTGAGTCAGTTTCTAGCCGGTTACACTGTAGTATCAGACACAGGATCTCATGTCCCACCTTCCCCAGGGTTTCCTGCTCGAGCGGCATGTCGGCTGTGCCTCTTCCTTCTGGAACCAGGGTGGAGGTGCAGCCCCTGCCTGTGGGGCATGGTCCTCATGGCCGCTGGAGCAAGCCTGGTGGAGCCCAGCCATGGCTCTGAGGCTTCCACTGGGGCAGGGCTATGTCATGTGCCCCATTTCATCTGCCAAAGCCTCCACGTGGTCCCCGCTGACCATCAGCAGGGCTGGAAAGTCCATCCTCTTACTGGGGGGAGACCAAGAGCCCCGGCCACCACAGCCGGATTGTGCAACCCCATTTTCCCTTAAGAGCAATCAGCCTGTTGAAACTAGAGATGGAATTAGCACCTTAGAGCTAAGGGCAACACAGAAGTGGGGAAGGGTGAACCTTGAGGGTGTGTCCTCAGCGGTGGGTTTGTCTCTCCCAGGCAAGGCGCTCTGCCTGCGGCTCAGCCCGGCTGAACGGGTGCTGGGCCTGTCCCTTCCCAGGGCCCAGCAGCTGAGCTGGAGGACGAAGCCCGGGTGGACGCTCCACACCATGGCCTCCAGGGAGTGTTCCCGACCTGGAGGAGGCAGGTGGGCTCCCCCTTGACCAGGATGCAGATGACCCCCTTGTGCCACCTGCACGATGCGCCCTAAGGGGCAGGGCCACTCCTCGTCTGCCTTCCTCTCCTGCAGGTCACCGGGGTGGCCCTGGTGGAGACTGACCTGGAGGGAGCCAGGCTCCCAGTGCCTCTCTCTGACCCAGCTGCAGGAGGGGCGCCTGGTGGCTTGCGTGCTGTGCCCTTGAGGATCATCTGTAACCAGCACCAGCCCCACCCTGCCCTCCGGACAGGACGCGCGGGCCAGGTTGGCGAGTCTGGAGGGGCTTTCTCAGGCATAGCCACTGTGAGAGCCGAGGTCCCCCACAGCCTGCAGCAGGGGACCTTTTCCCTGAGACCATGGGTACTTGCTGTAGTCCAGCTGGCGGGCCTGAGATCCTGACCCCATGTGCACATGGTCGGCACTATTGCATCCACTGGAAATTTCAAAGTAAAATCAGGACACGTGGGGGCAGGGAAGTGGGCTTGAGCGCTTCGCAGAGAGACCCTGCACCACCTCCCATTTGCTACGCTGGTTTCTTGAATGAGCGGCCCTCATTCATCAGACACCAATCTGCCCACAAACTTCTGACCAGGATCTGAGAATTCAGAGAAACCAGCCCCAAAACCACAGGCCTAGAAGCCTGGAACCCAGAGAGTGATTCCAGGAAATCATGGCAGGTGCACGCTGAGGTCACTTAGGCTGACCACAGCGAAGGTCAACGGCGGCCATCATAAATCAGTTTGCCCAGGACAGGCCCAGTGATGCCTGTGGTCCCAGTGCGTGTATTAACAACCTTCTCCTTTCTTCTCAAGGGGCTCAGATGGGTCGGTAGATTATACGGTCACCCTTGTCATGTCGGATTATGAACAAAATTTCAAGAGCTGCCTCCCTTCAACAAACCCACTGTGCAAAAACCCATCTTCCTAGTCAAGCAAATTAGGAAGAGATTATTCATTTTCCAAAAGACTTTTCCTTTGGCCAGGAAAGAACACCCTTAGTTTGCCAGAAAATCCTGCCAGCCGCCTCCCTGAGTGCATGGACTGCTAGATTCCGTTTTGTAAAATCGAGACAGCGGCTCAGGCGCACATGCAGTGCGTGGAGTGCAGAAGGCCTGGGTACTCCGGAAGCTTCCAGAGACAGCGTGGGGCGGCTGACGTGCGGGGAGACACAGACGTGGAGGACGCCACGGCCGCCTCGCCCCCAGGGCTCCCGGAGCGCGGCTGGCTGAGGAGCCAAGCAGATGGTGCTGCTGAGCGTTTCCTGCCTGGGCGGGAGGAGGTGGGGTTGCCGCCGGCGGGGCCTGTGACTGTGAGTGCGGCTCGCTGAGCAGCTGATGTGGGGGGTAGGGGGGGCGCGGATTACGCCATGTGTGACGGCAGAGGGGGGACAACGTGTCGAGAGACGTGGCCTTGGATGTAAGGAAGGGTCGTGAGAAAATACGCAGGAAGAGATACCCCGTGGACATGTTTCCCTTGGAAAGTGGAGGGAACCCTCTGAGCCGTGATTCCGCCTGAATTAAGCAGTGGCGGGCACTGGCCTGGCAGGCGGCTTCTACTGCCTTGGATTTGCACCTCTAAGGGGTCACAGGGGCCACCCCCGAAACAAGACAAAGTGTGATCATGGACAGGCCCTCGGGGGGCCGGAAGAAGGAACGGCTCCAGTGATGAAAGCTGAACGCCAGCTCTCTCCCCATCGTTCTCCCGGACCAGGAGAGGGCTGCTCGGCAGGGCTAGGTTTAAAAACCTTCCATGCAACTTACGAAGGCATCCACAGTGACTTCTGCTGCTGTGGTACGTTCTGCCCTCCCCTCCTCCCCGCCCCATCCTGTTCTCGGCTACAAGTTATTTATATGTACAGTGTCATCTGAACGTGCACGGGCCTATCCCAGGACATCACACACAAAGAGGCGGCGGTGAACCCAAGCCGCCGGGCCGGCCTGTGGCTCAGTGTGTGTTTCAGAAGTCCCGGCCCCAGGCAGCTCTCCTGAACAGAGCCACTGGAACTCAGGAGGGTCAGGACCACAGCCCAAACAACTGCGACCGAAAACACCCTACAGGGCTTGAGAACTAAAAAATAAGGAGGGATCTGGGCAGCCGAGCTGCCTCCTAAAGAAGCCACGTCATAGAGAAAACTGCTTGCTCTATCCATGAGACGGAGGCGGCCGGGGTGTCCTGCCAGCAGACACGGGTCTGTCCATCACCGGCCACCACGCTGCCTCTGTCCTTCACTCCCATTTAAGGGAAAACGATATCTCTTCATCTTTCTGCCCTGGACATTGGAAATCAGCGGTGAGAACAGTGCTCTTGCTACAAAATGCTCAGGTTCTAGAATGCTCCCATCTTTCCTTCCATTCCACATGGAGTTTATCCAAAGCACAAAGGCCAGTCACGGCACTGACATCCGTGGTGCCCGCTCACCGGGGAGTGGGAAGCACAAGCCTGTCCTCAGAGGACCGTGACTGTGAGCCCGCAGCTGCTTGTGGGTGGGGCCAGCCCGCAGCTCCTCCTGGAGGCCTCGGGCTTCTTGCTGCTGCATTTCTGTGACATGTGGAGGGAGGATCGTTTTGACACCTGCCTGGGAAGTTTCAAAGGAGATGGCCTCTGGGCAGGGGTTTTAAACTGAAGGGCACCACACAGATCCAGATGTGAACTGTGGCTGTTGTTTGCAATTGAAGCAGAGATGCAGAGGATGGAACAGGAGTGCTGGCCATGCTGCTCTATGGCCTTGGCCCAGCCAAGACCTGCAGTCAATGGGGCTACGGGACCCCCGCTACACAGGGACCTGGGAACCACCTTTGCCGCGGTTGACCGCTGGGCCCGCCATGCACCGCCCACACCTGGCTGTGCCTGGAGACTGAGAGCAGGGGGTGACGGTGGGCCTGGTGTGTGGAGTCCCGCAGCGGGAAGGGTGGGAGGGGAGGTGGGAGAGCGCAGTCACCCAGGGGTCCCCATGTGGGCTTGTACAGGCCTGGCCCAATCTGACAGCAACTGGGCAGGCAGAGCGAGCCCCCACTTTATGGGTGAGAAAACCGAGGCACGGAGAGGTGAATGCGCGTGGTATCAATGCCGCTAAGGCAGAAGTGAGGCGGAAAAGCCCGTCCTCGCGAGGGGCGGCCCTGTCTCCAGCTCCCAGGTACCTCCCGCTCATCTGCCCGAGGCTCCTGGGGATGTGGCTCTTGGGTTTCAGGAGGGCCCTGCTCCTCCTGTGGGAACCACGGACACGTGTGTGCCCGCGTGCCCTGAGCTCACACACACACACCATGGCGCATGGGCAGGGAAGCGGCGCTCCTGGCTACCCGGTGAGCATCTTTGCTTTCCTTCTGCTCTAAGTAGGCACCCAAGGAATACACGCGTTCACTCAGAGCCTGATTCATGTGACTGGGATAACACTGCGGGGAAAGGTTCTCACACAGTGGCTGACATGAGGATCCATTACAAGAGCCCAGGGTGGTCACTGCTAAGCATGGGGTTGAGGTGAATGGACCCCCAGCAGCAGCCAGTGACAGGGAGGGTTGGGGTGTGGGTTTAGCCGGGCAGGTGACTCTCTTTTGGGCAGCCAGGGGCTCGGGACGTGTGGACAGCACATGGTGAAGGCAGAGGCTGCGTGCTGTGTGCCTCAGAACCGGTGCCTGTTCCAGGTTAGGAACCAGAAAATCCCCTGCAGGGGCTTCTGCCCGCTCCCTCTTTGAAGTCCTGTTTTCATTTCCCCTGTGACACCAGCCTCTCCAAGCTCTATGGAAGGCTGGCTCTCCTGGCACGGCCTCCCCCGCCACTCTGGGTGCCGGCTCAGGTTCTCTGCAGACCCCAGGTTCTGCTCTCGGGTCTGCACCCAGCGTGATGGCCACCACCCACTCAGGACTCCATGGTGTCAAAAAAGTGCCAAGACCTGTTTCCTGCTTTAAAATACCATGCTGTTGGGAGTTTCTCTGAATCTTCTGTGATTCTGGAGGCTGCCTGATTTTAAAAAAATGTAGAAAATAAAATTAAAAACCATGCTGCAATGTAAAAGCCAGGATAAGCCTCTTGCAGCTGAATTCAGGTCTTGAAAGCTAACAAGTTTTGAGTTTCAGTACTTGCCCCCCAAAATGGTTGCTTATCGTGTGTGTGTGTGTGTGTGTGGTGTGTGTTTACACAGTGAACAACCTGATACCTTTGGCTGAAATGGGCTTTGTGTGGGCGTCGGGCCAGGGGGCTGCTGGGCTCCAATGTCTCCCAGCCCTGACTCCTGGGTGTTGGCCTGCCTCAAGTTTGCATATTCATTGACTGAAATCTATTTTATTTCCTCAGGAAGAGTCTCTCCCTTTTGCAAACGCCAGCCACAGAGGTTTATTTTTCTCCCTGAGAGAAGGAAGAGTGAAGGCTGAGACTGAGACAGAAGGACAGAAGGAGAAGACTTAGAAGCCAGTGAGCCCGGAACCACGAGACGCGCTCTGAGGACACGGGGCCTCGGGGAAACCGGGCACGGGCAGGGGTTGGTCTTGGCTTCCCCGCAACATTGCCGCGAGCTCGGGTGCCGTCTCCACTCGCAGGCTGGCCTGTCCTCTGCAGCCACGAGCTCAGGCACCGTCTCCGTTCATAGGCCAGCCTGTTCTCTGCAGCCTGAGGTCCCTGTGGTGCCAACATCCAGATGCTGAGATAATTCTGCCAGGGTGTTGGCTGATCGGTGATTGGTGGTTGGCTGTTCCGTGAGTTCTGCATTGATCTTGCTGGCTGAGCGTCCAATGCGGAGGGGCAGGTGCTGTTAGGGTCTCCACTCCCATCCCTCTCCCCAGGACTCATCACCCACTGCAACCGTAAGCTGCTAGGGGCTCACAGCCGTGAGTCTTTGGGACGGGTGGTCCCACCTGGCATGTAGCTCAGGCTCCTAGCCCCAGGACCCTGCCGCTGCTCCCCTCCCGCCCACATCTTGGCTTAGCCGTCTTCCCTGGCTGCCAGCCCCTTCCCCTGGTCTTAGTTGGCTTGAGCCACTAAACTGAAATAGCACACCCTGAGGCCTTCAACAGCAGACCTGATTTCTCACCATCTGGAGGCTGGAGGTCCAGGATCCAGGCCCCCAAGGCTGCTTTCTCCCCCACTCCCCCACCCACCTTCCAGGACACGCAGACTCCACCCTCTTGCTGCCCTGTCTCAGGGCTGTCCCTCTGGGCAAGCAGGCCCCTGGCATCCCCGTGTGTCTTCTCCTCCTGTTCTTATAAGGACACCAGTCATACTGGATCTGGGCCCACCCTAGTGACCTCATTTACCTTAATCACCTCTGAAAGACCTTGTCTCAAAAACAGCCACATTCTGGGGCACTGAGGGTTAGGGCTTTAACATGGGAATTTGAGGGATGCAATTCACCCCATAAAACCCAGACCATTCCCCCAGTAAATCACTTTCACAAGAGCTCTTCTCTCAGGCTTTGCTTCTGGGGGATCCCCCTTGAGATGGATCCATCTAGCTTCCTGCTTCTCAAAGAACAGAGGGGAGAGCTCTGGTGCGAAGGGAACGGGTGGCCTCGGGGACCTGCGGATAAGCTGCTGGCACTGCCAGGGGACAGGCTGAGCTGAAAGCCAGGAGGAGGGCGGCGAGGCCCGGGGCCGGACCTCATTCTTCTGAGTGTTATAAAATCTGGCTTTGCTCAGAAACTGCCCCATGTGTGCTTTTGTTAATTGAAGTGCAAAATTTTCTCCAAGTAATAACTGGAGTCGTTTAACAATACAAATAATTTGCACCTTAATTTGGTCGATGGCACAATTGCTAATTCCTAGAGACTCAGAGGAGCAAAGTGATCACGAATTCCAAGAGTGGAAACAAATCCATTCCGCAAATTTCACCCTGGCTTCTTCCTCGCCGGCCTGGGAGCTGCCCCGAGGGTCCTGGAACCTTCAGCTGCTTCCGGGCTCAGCCGGTGTCGTGGGGAGCCAGGTCCTGTGGTGGCTCCCAGCCCCAAAGCTGACTCTGCGTGGGACAACAAACGGTTTAATTAACCTCTCAGCTTTTTCATCTGTGAAGCGGAGCTTGGGATGCTTGCCACCGGACCAGGAGGCCACGAAGACGGATGTTAGAAAACCTCTGTGCCAGTGACGAAAGACATCGAAGCTATAATACCCTGTTAGGCAAAGCAAGAAGATAACTCATACATGCAGGAGACAGTCTCCTTGTGCAGAGGGGCCTTTGGAACCGATGTATGGTGGAGCCCTGAGAAACCTGAAGCTGTGTAGAGCCTGCAGCCCCCGCCCCACGTCCCAAAGCGATGTGGCCTGGGGAGCTCTTGTCCTGCCCTTTTTGGACACCCCCCTTCTTTGAGGGCATCTTTCTTCTTAAAGGTGTTGGGGCGGGAGTAGGTGGGGGTCTAGCTTTGCTGATTTCCTTGTAAGTGCATTTTATTATTATTATTATTATTATTATTATTATTATTATTATTTTGAGACAGAAGCTCGCTCTGATGAGCGAGATTCAAAATTATTATTTTGAGACGGGGTTTCACTATGTTGGCCAGGCTGGTCTCGAACTCCTGACCTCAGGGATCCACCCACCTCGGCCTCCCAAAGTGCTGGGATTACAGGCATGAGCCACTGCGCCCAGCCAAGTGCATTGTTTTTAAAAGGGGTAAATCATCTAGTGAAACCCCATCTCTATTAAAATACAAAAATTAGCCAGGCCTGGTGGTGCACACCTGTAGTCCCAGCGACTCCAGAGTCTGAGGCAGGAGAATCGCTTGAACCTGGGAGGCGGAGGTTGCAGTGAGCTGAGATCGCGCCACTGCTCTCCAGCCTCGGTGACAGAGCGAGATTCCGTCTCAAAATAATAATAATAATAGTCTGTCTCTGTGTGTTTAATTACAAGTAACTAACTAGTTACTGTTGCAACTCATTTATTTGGGGACAGGCTCCTATCTAGTGTCCCACCACGATATTATTTGGGCCAGGAAAGACATACACAACCGATGAAAGGCTGGGAGCTGAATCTTAGTGCTAAAGATTCGCTGTGGGAAAGCACAGAGCCTAGGAGTTTGCTAAGGGCCTGGGCTCCTACAGGCAGGCACCGCTGACTGATAGCCAGAAGATTCTAGACTCCCAGGCCACCGGTTTCTTGAAGTGGCATTAACCCTGGCAGGCTCTTTGAAGTGTGTGCCCAGAGACTGGGTTGGTGGGGGGTCTGTGCAGGAGCCAGGCCACCTGTGCTCAGAGTCAGCAATGCGCGTTTCTCTGTCCGTAAGTCAGCGGTGCGGGTCTCTGTGTGACTGTGTCAGGGTGCTCTTGGGAAGAGGGGTGAGGGGCTGTGGGCCTCGAGCTGACGGGACGGGCAGGAAGGCTCACCTACCGAGGACAGCAAGTCAGAGCCAACAGGGGAGCCCTCCGGGGAAAGGGCTTTCAAGCCCTGGCACCACCAAGGTTTCAACCAAGAGACGTTGAACCAGGTTCCAGTAGACAACCCGCTGTCAGGGTGCACAGACTGTGGAAACCAGTGAGAAGTCCTCTTCCTGTACAACACGGTGGCCAGTGCATGGCTGCAGACCTCAGCCAAAAGCCCACAGCCAGGCCAGCAGTTACAGGCGGCAGCCGGTCTCTTGTCTTCCCAAGGCCCCAGCAGCTCTGTCCTTCCACACAGCCCCTGCTGACGGCCATCGTTGGTATGGACACATCAGGCCTCCAGGCTGCTGCAGGGCCTGTCCCTGGTGGCAGCTGTGACATTAGTCATCGAGGGGCTCCCCTGGCCTCCCCTGGCTGGCTGGGAGTGAGGTGACATAAATAGACTGAGCAGGTAGCTCTGCAGACCACGGGATCACCAGCGTCCCTTGTGGCCAGTGTGGCTTTAAAGTGTGTCCCAGAGGTGGCTCTTGAGGCAGTCTTGCTGGACTGTTATTAGGCACATCTGCTCCAGGGAGTGCCCATTCATTATGGCCAAATAAGCAGGCATAGGCGCCGGCCCCAGACGAGGTCTCTGGGGAACTCCAGGGGTGGGAGAGCCACCCTCTCCAGCGGCCTCAGGGCCCCGGTGCTCGGAAGCCTGGCTCCTCTGGCTTGAGCTCAGGTCTACAGCGAGCAGGGAGTCTTCCTACTGCTGCTCCAAGCTGCCTGGGCCAGCTGTGTTCGCCGAGGGGGCTGCCGGCTCACCACTGCCTGCCTTGAGTGCCAGGGTCTTTTGTGAAATAATCATGTTACTCAAGTTCAGTCCTTGAATAAATAGCACATTTTTGCATGTATTTTGTAGAGTGGCATATGCTTCAAAGTTCTAAAGGCACCGCAGGGTATCTATTCTGTGAAGCCTTCCTTCTACCCGGTCCCCGCCCGCCCATCGAGACAAGCAGCATGGCCAACCGCGGTGTGCATCCTTCTGTGCGTTAATGAGCAAATAGGCACAAGCACTGCCTACGCCTCTATGCGGAGGTGCGGGCTCACCGCTAGTGCTCTTCTGCACTTTTGCTTTTTTCAGCAAATGCCATGCGTCAGAGCTGTTTCTCCACTGCCACACAGCCCCAGCCTTTCCCGCGGCTGAGTGGCAGCCCATTGGAAGGTTCATAACTATCCATGGAAATCTAGGTTGAGTTCAGGTATTTGCAGTTAAAAACAATGCTACCACACGGTGCTCTGCAATATGCCAGTATGAGTGCATGTGTGTCTGCGATGGGGAGGGGATGGTCTCAGGGGTGCAGCTGCAGGGCTGCACCAGTATGTGTGTGTGAATATGTCAGTATGTGTGCGTGTGCATCTGTGGTGGGGAGGGGGTGGTCTCAGGGGTGCAGCTGCAGGGCTGCACCAGTATGTGTGTGTGAATATGTCAGTATGTGTGCGTGTGCATCTGTGGTGGGGAGGGGTTGGTCTCGGGTGCAGCTGCAAATTGCATTTGCATCTGAACTTGCAGTTGCATTTGCACCTGTGCTTGTATTTGTGTTTGTATTTGCATTGGGGCTGTCACCTGTATTTGCAGTAAGATGGGGTGGTCACACTCAGGTGGGTCCGCATGGGACATGTCACAGAAGCAAATCTGGCCTATACCTGGCTTGGAGGTGCTCTTTGATTCTTGACTTCGCTAAAGGGCAGTAGGTCTGCCAGTCAGGGTCCTATAAGGAAAACCAGCTGGTCTACATGTTCCAACAGAGGAGATTTAACACCAGGAATCAGCTACCGAGGTGCCAGAAGAGCAGAAGGGAGAAGCAGGCTTGGGGGAGGCCAGGGCAGGAGGGTGCTCCTGGTGACAGGAGCTGCTGCTGCCCATGGAGCCTGTGCTGCCGAGCTGTTAGAGCTGCAGCTGGCTCTGGATGTGCTGGTGAGGGGCCACCTCCAGCAGGGTAGGGACACCTGCCCTGACCCTAGGGGCCGCCTCCCGCAGGGTGGGGATGCCTGCCCTGACCAGAGGGGCTGCCCCCAGCAGGGCGAGGACACCTGCCCTGACCGGAGGGGCCGCCGATGCCAACTGGAAGCAAGAAGCATTGCCCCTCCTCCTGCGGCAGAGCTGGCTGAGGCGCCCGTAGGCACGGGAGTTCTGGAAGTGAGTGTGCAGCTTCCGGGCCCCTAGAAACAAAGCGTGGGGCTGAGAGCAGAGGTGCAAGCAATGTGCAGGGAGTGAGCCCCAGCCCGCCCTGCTGTGGCCTCAGCGTGAGGCCAGGCTGTCCTGTTGGCTCTGACCCAGCGGCATTGGGGGCCACGAGGCTGCCAGGGCTGTGCTGGCCTGAGGCTTCTACCTCTGTCTGTTGAAACTCCACCCTGCCCAGTACCACTCTCATCCCACATCCTCTGTGCTGGGGGCCCTTCCTGGTGCTGGGGCCCTCGTTCTATACGCAGTTTGCCCAACCAGGTGAGCAGGAGCTGCAGTCCTGGACTCCTATCCAGGATGCATCCCTGAGGACCAAGGGACCCTCACCAGCTGTGGCTGGAAGCCCCTCAGATGGGCTCCCCAACAGCCGCCCCCCAACAGCTGCCTGGCACCTGCAGCGGGTGTCACAGAGGGGACTTGGGACTGAGGGCTGCTTGCGTCATGTCGTCCTGGGCTGTCGGGAACCCCCTAGAGCTCCTCTCTGGGGAGAAAAAGGGGATCGGGCCCCTCTGTGACATGAACCGTGCAGGGCCAGCTCCGAGGGGCCTTGCCAGGAAAGGGGAGCAGAGCTGCCTTCCATCCCCCATGGAGAAAATCGAGACCATGCTGGCAGCCATCCGGCTGGTCAGGCTTGACCCCTGGGTGTCCCGCGGCTGTTGCACAAAGCACCACAGACGGGGGTCCAGACAACAGACATTCACTCTCTTGCGCTGCTGGAGGCCGGACCCCCGAGCTGAAGCCGTTGGCAGGGCTGGTTCCTTCCGGGGCTGGGGGACTGCGTCTGCCCCGGCCTCTCTCTGCGCCTCTGGGACCCTTGGCATTCCCTGGCTGGTGGAAGCGTCATCCCGGTCCCTGTCTCCCTCTTCACACGCGTTCTCCAGCACCTGTCTGTGCTCAAATCTCCCCTTCTCGGAAGGACAGTGGTCATTGGATTAGGGGCCCAGCCTACTCCAGCATGGCCTCCTTTTAACCAATTCCATCTGCAAAAAGCTATTTCCAAATGAGTCACATTCTGAGGTACTGGGGGTCAGGACTTCGACATAGAAATGGGGGAGTGGAATGGAGACAGACGTAATTCAACCCGTAACAATCCCCTCATAAGCAAAGAACTTCTCCAAACGGAAATAAAGAAGTCTCAGTGGCCCGTTACATTAAATCGGAGACTAGGCCCCAAGAGGCCCAAGCGAATGGTGCCAGGCAGTCCTCGCAAGTGATCTCACCCCAGCTTGAGTTGCAGAGGTAAGCGAAACTGAGCTATTTCTTGTAAATGCCTGCATTAAAGAGAAACAGAACTTAAGCTCCACCAATCAGAGGCAGCCAACAAACTTACATAACCAGGGACTTTCCAATGGGACGGACCCAATAAAGAAACTGCGTACATGCGGCCAATCAGATACTTTCTCTGCTTCACCTTAGGCAACTGCTGTACCTACGACCAATCAGATACTTTCTCTGGTGCATGTCAGGCAACTGCATGCCTGCAGCCAATCAGATACCTTCTCTGCCTGCTAGCAGCCAATCAGATACTTTCTCTGCTTTATGTGTGTCAACTGCATGCCTGTGGCCAATCAGATACCTTCTCTGGTGTACAACAGGCAATGGCGTACCTGCGACCAATCAGACCACTTTCTCTGCTTGACATCTGCGCATGTCCTAGGAGAGCTGCCCCTGTGTTCCCTTGGTGGAGCTCCTGATCCATTCTGGTGTGGGGCTGCCTGATTCATGAATGGTGGTTTGCTCAAGTCAACTCTTTAAAAAGTATATTATGCCTCAGTTTACCTTTTTAAAACATACCTCAACTTGAAAGGCAGGTCGAGAAGAGGAGTAGGGAGTTCTCAAGGATGTAAATATAAGGGAACACTAAACACCGGGAAGAAAGTTCGACCTCATTCGTCAACAAAAGAATGTACATCCGGACACTACAGTTTCCCTGTTGAACTAGTGAAATTGTATTAACTGATCATCCTCAGTGGAGCGTAAATGCAGGTAGACTTTTAGAGGATGTTGTCAACGTGAATCTGCAACCTGAAGACGTTCCTTCAATCCTGGGCTTCTATTTCTGATCCTCTAACATAAGGAAAGATCCCAAGCTATGGGAAAATATTGATGCAGAAAAAGATTCATCTCAGGGTAATTAAAAAATGTACAGAAGCAAATCCAATATAGCAAAAGGAGAGATTTGGGTATATCCATAGGAGAGAATGCCATACAATCATTACAAATTACATTGAAAAAGGATGCTAACGGCACTGGAGACCCCCATGGTTACAGTGTTGAGCAACAAACGTGAGCTAAGCTTATGCACACACACACCACACACACGCACACGTGGGGTTAAAATCAAACCCGGGAGTGAGTTTACGGAGGTATGACTGAGTGTCAACGCGAAGAGGCCATATCCCAGAAAGGAGATTTTTGTATTTACAAGAGGAGGGGCCTGCGACGCATCACAGGGCCAGGAAATGCCAGTTAGTTTGGGGAGGAGTAGGCACCAGCCTTTCTTGGGGTTTCCTTGGGAAAGGCAGGGCAGGCGGGTAGACTCAGGACTGGCTGGCATGAACAATTCTGTTGGACTTTGGGGCGTAGGGGCTGTCCCTGCTTGCCTGGCTCTGAGGTCATCTAGGGCAGGGAAAATGCTGGCTTGGTGTACCAGTGAGATGAAGCGGATGGTTGGGGTATAGACAGGACTGGCTGCTCTAGGCCAAGCCCTATCTTGGCTCTGAAATCAGCCAGCTCTGGGAGGGACAGTCTGCAAGAGTCTTTGAATGCCAGAGCATCAAGAATACAGAAAATAAGAAAATTATAGTGAATACAATTGGCCCTGTGACAAATGGATGCCAAAAAGACAAATACAGAATCTCAGAAAACCCAGCTAGAACACACACACACACACACACACACACACACACACACACACACACACACAGACATTATTTAACTATGTTTTTGAAATGCACAGAAACAGGCAATGCTGGAAGGAAACATTCCAAAATGTTGAAGGTGTTCTCTTTGTGTTGTGAATATATGGTGGGTTTTTCTCCTTCTGTTTCTTGTAATGTTCTTAATTTCCAAATTCTCTGTCAATGAATATGTATTATTTTGATAGTGAGGAAAAAAGGATTTAAACTATTTACCGGCTGCCTGGACAGGAGGCCTCAGCTGGGGCCTCCCTGAACCAAGCCGGCCCCGTTCTCTCACCTGCCGGGCTGGGGGACCCCGTGCCGCTGCACATCACTCGGGCACTGTGTCTCCTTCTGCTGGCATCTCGAAGAGCCGGGAGGGAGGAGCGTCGGAGAAGTGTGTGTGGTGATGCTAGTGGTGAGACAGGGCCCAGGGCATATTGGTGCCTATCAGCTATTCCATAGCTGGTGTCTTGGTCTCTGCAGAGCCTGTTCCGAGGACAGCAGGCTCAGTGTGAGGGGCCAGGTGTCCTCCACACCCCTCTCAGCTGCCACCTGAGCCCAGGCAGGGGGAACTGGCCAGGACTCAACACTGTCCTCTCCAAGGGGTGGGACCCAGGTGGCAAGCACACAGTTGGGATGGTGGGGCCTTGGGGCCTCAGCCTTCATCTGCACACCCGCCACCCCACAGATCTCCCAGACTTCCATCCCAGCGAGGGACCAGGGTCCTGATCTGCCCGGGACTTCCTTGGTTTCAGCACTAAAAGCCCCACACCCTGCTAGTCCAGGCCAAATGGGGAGGGTTGGTCACCTATGCTCAATGTCCCCTCAGAGCCCTGAGCCATGCAGGGCCCCCACATCCCCACGTCTCCACCCCCTCTCACCCCAGATCTGGTCTGAGTGGGAGTCGGTCCTGCGGTCCCAATGGTCTCTGACAGTCACAGTTCCCTGGGATCCATAGCTCCCAGCCACCTGGGGGTGGCACAGAATGTCTCGGGGTGGGGGACAGGTGTCAGAGGGCTTAACTGCACCCCTGTGCTAAGGGCTGTCCTCCCCAAAAGTCCTGGGGGGGACCATTCTCCATACGCCCCTCCTGCCAGATGCTGGACCACCTGTGATGGGGGCGGAGGGACTGCGCCGTCAGCTCCGTCTGGAAAAGTGTGTGTGTGAGAGCAGAGGGGCGGGAGAGAGGATGAGAGAGGAGGGGGGAGGGGGCGGGAAAGAGTGAGTTTGGGGAGGAAGAGAATTACCTTGGGATTCTATCCTGAGGTGACCCAGATAGCTCCTGCTCTGGAAGATACCTTGGTTCAGTCGTGGCCTTCAGGAGGTCAGCCAGATTGCCAGAGAACTCATACCTTTTATTAACATTTTCTCAGGTGCTTTAAACCGCAGTCATTATGTAGGGAGCATAGGTTACAAATTATGGCAAAATATGCTTTTGCTAATCGATTGGCTCCATTGCATATACGCACAATCTACACACACATTCATGTGTCATCAGAACCATGACTCGAGACAATTTTAATGCAGAATTGAGAAAAACAAACTTGCCCAACCGTATTCTGAAACGAGCCCTTTCCAGCCTCCCTCCCAGGGACCTAGAAAGATAGCTCCCTGGAAGTCAGAAAATGGAAGCTGGAGTCTCAGCTGCTCCACAGAGCGCCCTGGGACTTAAGGTGTCACTTGCCTCGGTTTCCCCACAAAGGGTGAGAGAAGGAGGGGGCCTCTTACTTTCCGTCCTTTGCACACAATGGCTGTCTCCATGAAGGCCACCAGGGCCATGGAAGTGAGCAGCAGGACCAGCTCCTAGTGGGCACAGCCAACCCTTCTGCGGGAGCCCCTTCGCAAGGATGGCGCAGTGGGCAGAGGCTGCAGCTTCAGCCTCCTAGGCTGAGGTCACACAGGGCCTCCAGGGGGTTGAGCCGGCTACCCTCCCCCCAGGAGCTGGCTGCCTCCTCCTCCAGCTTTGGCCCCTGGATCCCTTAAAAAGCAAGCGCCACCTTAGAGCCAGGTGATTAAACCAAGACACTGGTCTTTTATTCATGTCTCTGCCAACCGCTGTTTCAGTCTCTTGTCAGGCACATTCATGGCTTCCAGCAGGACGTCGGTAAATTTCTGGCTATGAAATGATTGTGTTTCTACAGCAGCCGCAGGCGGGGTAAACGGGAAGGGTTAAACTGGCTTCCTGTCCTGGAACATTTGGGGATTTTTATCACACGTCACTGTCTGTGACAGCCTCTGGGCCTTTGGAATATTCCGGCACAACTGCCGGCTCCTTGGGCTCATCTTGGCTCAGCAACAAGTTCCCAGGCAAGGCCGTGGTGCCCTGGACAGGTCAAGAGCGGATCGGGACAGGGCTCGCCGTGGTGAGGGGCGGGCTTCTCGCAGGGAAACGCAGTCTGCATCGCCCTGACCATGTCTCGGGGCTGCCCAGGGCAGGTCCAAGTGGGCTGGTGGGTTTCTGGGTGTGTCATTTGCTCTCCCAGGCATGCGTGCAGGCGCCACCCTTGGAGCCCCTGGGCCCTGCTTCCTCGCTGCGGCTGGGACCCTGTCCTGAGGGGCCATGAGCTCCGAGGGGCTGTTTCACAGTGAGCCTGGCTGGGTCCTCCGGGGTCTCCTCTGGGCGGCGAGGGCAAACTCGTGGAGCTTCAGGATTTTGAGAATTGCAGGAAGCGAGACCTGAACTCAAAATAACTTTAAGCCAAAAAGGAAGTTTGTTGAGAGTCCTTGAAGGAGCCGGCCTTGGGGACTTCAGCGACCCAGCCCCCTCCTACTGTCCACCCTGTTTCCCTCTGGGTGGGGCCTCTTTCTCTCCTCTGACATTTGGGACTCCTTCTGGGCCCGGCCTGGCCACACAGCACCCCACAGTCTGCATGGTGGCCCAGCCGGGATACCTCCAGCCCCAGAGGCAAGAGGCCCCCTACTGATGTGGCAGAGGCAGGAAGGGGCTGGGATACAGCCGGCAGCAACCATACCCAGTGCCCACCGCACCCCCAAGACCCCCAGGTGGGGCCCCCGAGGTGGGGACAGGAGTTCCAGCCCAGGCCCTGATGCCCAGTGCCACATGCGTCCAGCGAGCCCCTTCAGCGTCCTGGGTCTGTCCTTCAGCCACAGGATGGGAACATGAGGCAGCTCCAGGGTGGCACCTGTGGCCATGGCCAAATTCAGCCTGCCCATGTCTGACCACAAGCTAGGAATGATTCTAACATTTACAAATGGTTGGGGAAAAGAGAAGGCTTTGTGACACATGAAAGTTAAACAGAATTCCCATTTCCAGGTCCATAAACACAGTGTAATTGGCACAAGCCACACCCACTTTTCCACATCTGTGGATGCTTCTGCACTTTGAGGGCAGAGACCGCAAGGCCCCTTCCGGAGACGGGGTGCCGACCAGAGGCCCCTCCAAGAGACGGGTGTTTCTCATTCAGCCGGCTCAGGCTGACTACGAATTCAGCCTCTGCCAAAAATGCCAGAATCCTTCGTCGTGGTTTTTATGCCCTACATTTTTTTCTAATATGCAAGAAAACCAATCTATGACTGTTCAAAAGTAGACGCTAAAATCCCATTCCACCGCAAGCATCCTAAGGCCCTGCCTGATTTGAGGCCTCTTCCCACCGGGTGTCCTGGGGTCCCTGGGTCCTGACGTCCCTTCCCTGCCTGGGCTGTGACGGTCACCAGGCTAACAGGGCCAGAGCCGGGCTGGGGGCCGGCACTGTGGACGGGGAAGGAACCTGCCAGGCACATCTGTCCTCTGTCGGTCGGTCTTGAACAGTGAGGTGTGGCTCCATCACATGCTCTGGAAGAAGAGTTCAAAAAGGTCTAAGCTCTTCGTGTGCTCCTCAGATGAATGGAGGGGCCGCTGGCTTGTTTCCTGGGAGTGTGTGCTTGGGTTGTGATGGGGCGTCTGTTCTCAGGCCCACGGTCTGACCAGTCATTTGTGCTTTGGGGCAGTGGGGGAGCCATCTGGAAGGTGCGGGTGCCTGCTTTCTGTAGGGTTGGGGGTTCACCCTTGCCTTTGCAAGTGGGCCTGGTGGGAAAGGCGGGCCCTGGGGTCCCAGCCACATGGCCTGGGGTTTAGGTAACCACAGGGTTCCTTGGTGGCAGTTGGGGGTGAGGGCCGAGGGCTTCTCAGTACCAACTGAAAGGTCAGGCCCAGCCACTCAAAACTGCTGGTGGGTTCCAGGGCCTGTGGACTCCACTTTACACCCAAAACAGACAGATGGGGGTGACGCCAGAGCTCCCCAAGGGGTACGGAGACCTGGGTGGTCCCTGGCCCCCTCACTGTGGTCTGGGAGCTGCCGGATCATGGGACACGAAGACCCTATCTCAGAAACATTCTTCTGGGACTGCTATCTTGGCCCAAGCTGCAGAGTCCAGCGTGGTCGTTCCTGGCAGAGGGGTAAGTCAGCAGCAGGCCGGGAAGCAAAGGCTCACAGACCTCACTCCTCAGCCTGCTGCAGGCAGGCGGTGGTCACACTCCTGACCCGGGACTTGGAATTCCTGGATGGTGTGTGCCGTGGGGGCACCCGCACAGACGAGGCCCTCCAGGGACAGTGGCTGCCCCTCCCCAAGCAGCCAGGCCAGGTACTGGGTAGGCCTAGAACCTCCTCTGGGCCTCCCACTGCACCATCTCCCAGCCCTGTTCAGTGGGCCCCGAGCTGGGGAATGGTGACCGTCCACGGCTGGCTGGAAGCCTCCGAGTGCAGCAGAGCCTGTGTGTGCTTCCCCTGAGGCGGGCCTGCCGTCCACAGACGCTCACTTCAAGCTGCCTCTGCCCTTGGGAGCCCTCTGGAATGAGGGGATGCAGGGGGAGGCCTGGCAGGAGGCTGCCTGGTCCTTGGGGCAGGTGAAAAACATGTCTTCTGCAGGAGGAGGGGGTGGTGGAGCCTCAGCAGGCCCTTGAGCGGGGCCTCCCTGACAGCCAGAGATGCAGAGGAAGAAGCAGCGTGGGTTAAAATGGGGCCAGGACAGGCTCGGGGTGGAGGGGCTGCTTCATGAAAGAAGGAGTGGGGCAGGAAAGAGCAGAGGAACCCGCAGGGAGGGCCTCCATCCAGGAGGACAGGAAGGACAGGCCCCCGCTCAGCTGCACGTGACTCAGCCCGAGCGCTTTCTTACTCACAGTTCCCGGGCCTTGCCTGTTCTCATTGGATCACGTGGTGGATACGGGATTGACCACGACCCTCCACCCCGCCCAACTCAGGGTGATGTGTTGCCTAATCTTTTGCTCCTGTTGGCAGAAAATAAGCCAGTAACACTGTCCCCTAGAGAGGCCCAGGGAGCCCCTGCATCAGCTCCAGAGGCCCCTGGAAAGACGTGATTAAAATGAAGGAAGTCAGAGGTCGTCCTCACTGAGCTCTGGCTGGGCACACGCTTCTCATACCCTCTCGGCGACGGGGAACTGGGGCTCTGCGGGCCGATGCCTCAGGCCCAGATGAGATGGTGGGGTCTGGGCGGCCGGGCACCCTTCCTCCTCCGCCAGCCCTGGAGCAGGCGCTAACCCACGTCCGTGGGAGTTCTCACGTGGTCAGCCCCAAACCCGGCTCCCAGCCAGAGTGTGGTCTGGAGCGGGGTCCAGATCAGAGACAACTTCTAGGATCTGCTTGAGCTGGGAGTGAGGAGCCTCTCCGGAGGGGGCTGGGGCACAGGGACGCACACACCCAGGTCGAAGAGGCTCCCAGGCAGCTCGATACGTATCTACAGGAAGCAGTCAGAGAGCGCGGGCACCCGGCTTCCCTGCACCTCGGATGGACCGCTTGGGACTTGCATGGAGGCCCTTGTGATGTCGCCAGGGAGGCAGGGGGCCACGCTGGCCCTCGCTGCAGTGTGGGTTTCTGGGGCGTCTTCTCTGCAGGGAGAGATGCCTGTGGGAAGGGGCTGCTCCCCTGCCCTGGGAAGTTCTGACACCCGGCAGAAGTGGAGACGTGAGAGAGCATGGCCCCAGCTGTCTATTCAGTTGTTCCTTGGTTTTCTCATGCATTCGTGTGACTCCTGTAGCAAGGGTCCACCATGTGCCATGCTCATAAGCAGCCTTTCCAGTCTGTAATGCAGCCCCCAAGGTGAGGCGAGAGGGGCCCTGGGAGACCAGGGCCGTCGGTGGGCGGTGACCTGGCTTTGACGCACAGCATTCACCAGTTCCCGTGGTGCAAACACTCCCAGCATGGCCGATTCCAACCTACCGACGTGAAGTCACGAGACACTGTTGGGACGAAACGCCCCAGTCCATAAGCTGGGGCCCCCAGCCACCAGCCACAGCTTAGGTCCAGCCCAGGGAGGTCAGCGGCGGTGCAAGGAAGCTGTGTTCCCTTAGTTTAAAGTGAGAATATTGAGATCTCGAGAGGCGGACAGGCTGCGCAAGGCCACATGTGCAGTGAGAAGCAGAACGGACCCAGATGCAGACCTTCCTGTGCAACTGAAGGTCCCTGCCTTTCTCTGCCCTCTGACTGCTGCTCTGGCAAGGTCGGGTGGGGGCTGGGGGCCTGGAGACTGGCTCACTCCCAGCAGAAGCCCCTGCCTGCCGCCCCCGGGTGGGGCCTGGGGGCGGCCGTGCAACACCAAGTGGCGGAGAGCAGCCCGATCTTCCTCCCAGCCTCGGTCTCAGGGCCCTGGGCTCCTGCCAGTCTCCCTCTCGCCAAACTCGGCTTCCTTCCTGGGTGCCCTGGGCTTGGAGAACATTCAGGCAGGTCGGGGCAGAGCCCGCAGCGTCGGTGTGCACCCCCAGGAGCCCCCACGCAGGCTTTCTCCTTGCACTCCTTGTTTGGAAACAGCAGTGTTTGCTTTTGAAGGGCGCCGGGGTATACACTGCACTTAAAGGAGGACCGCTGAGTATTTTCTTAACGGAAGAGCAAATATTTACGTCTTAGGAACTAAAGGGCAGTTTGGCGTGTGTGGGATGTTGACTCTCGACTGGGGGCGGGCAGGGAAACCAACCCTTGGCTGCCTTTGGCCTTGCTCGGCCAAAATGAGCAGAGGCGTCTGCCTTGGTCTGGGTGCCACCTGGGCCTCTATTTACCTGCCAAGAGAGAAGGAGGGCCGAGGCGGCTGTGCCAGCGACTGCTCCTCATCTTGGGGTGACTGAGCAACCCTCGATCAGCCCCCTCCTGACCATCACCTTCCCCAGCGGGTGGGGTGGGGGCAGGGGTCCTTCCGCCTCTCTGGCTTTTGCTGTGCCTGAGGGCAGAAGCCCTTGCTTGGTCCCCCCTCCAGCCCTGCCCACACTTGCTGGTGATGGCCACCAGCCCTGCCACGTGGGGAGCACGACCGCCAGCCTGCTGTGCGTCGGCAGATGGAGACTGGGCCAAAGGGTTAAGTTATTAAAGGTAAACACACACACCTGCAAAGGCTAGTGCAGCGGGGGAGGCAGCCGGAGGGGATGCAGGGGAGCCCACCGGGAGAATGGAGCCTCTTAAGGACCCCCAGCAACCACTTCCTGGGCTGGTGAGCTGCAGCTGGAGCCCCTGAGTTCACCCAGGCCTGGGGCCTGTCTTTGGGGCCCGCTGACACCAGCCCGGCCCAGGAGTGCCAGCCTGGCCCAGGAGTGCCGGTCCTGCCCAGGAGTGCCAGCCCGGCCCTGCTATGGGAGCACACGGGGCGCTCTGGGAAGCAGGCTGGTCCTGACCCCAGCAGGAGATGCAGTTCAGGGACCTCCCCAGAGCGGGGTCCTACCGAGATGCACCTGCCTGTCTGCTGATTGTTTGGCTTCCTAACCCCATGGCAATCCTGCTGCATGCTTCTGGAAGTTTCCACCAGCAATCCCACGAGCTCTGGGTCTGCACTTCAGCTATCTGCATGGAAAAGGGCACCTATTTTGTGAGTAACCTGGGTGTCCGTGGCCCCAATTCAGAGGCAGGGTTGTCCCTGAAGCTGCCAGTGGCCCTGGGTTTCTGGGAGCAGAGGGTCAGCACAGTACAGCAGCGTCCCCGCCCAGGGCAAAGCCAGGACAAGGCCTTATATATAGGCCAGGAGAGGGGAGGGCGGTGGCTCTCTGCTGGGCCGCCAGACGGAAGGTAAACAGCGCCGGGGACTGGTAGCTCCTGTCTCCAGGCAGGAATGCACAGGCCGCGCCTGAGGCAGGTGCGTCCCCAGGGAGGGTTCTGCCCTCTGAAGGCCACCCACACAGGTGGCCTCTGCAGTGGCTGAGAGGTCACAGGCTGCTGTGTTCCCCATCCTTACCCAGCTGTGACCGCCCAGTGAACTTGGGCTGTGCACACAGAGCGGTTTCTCTGCACAGCAGAGCGTCATGTCCACCGTGTCCCGTGACTGTCTGCCTCACGTATCGGATAAAGGTGGCTGGAGCCAGTTCTCACCCCGGGCTGCCTGTCGGGGGCAAAGGTGCCCTGGGGGGGGGCCTCACATCATCGTCCTCAACCCCAGTCTCGTCCCACCCACCTGGACCCACCCTGACCCTGAACAGCTGCCCCATTGTCAGCCCCCAGGTGGCCATTCTCAGCCCGTGGACACCCTGATCCTTCATGCCAACTGAGTGCAGGGCAGAGGGTCTCAGCCCCAGCTGCACAGTGTGTGTGTCGTGGAGGGGACAGAGAAACGGTCAAAATCCTGAGACACGCTCTCTGCCGTTATGCATGTGAACGTGTGCTTGCATTGCATACACACATATGTGCTGTGTACATGTGTGCACACATTTTGCACACGTGTGTGTGCTCGTGTCCTGTACATGTGCTTGATGTGTGTGTGCGTGCATATGTATGTGCAAGTGAGTGTGTTGTGTGGGTGTGCACGGGAATGTGTGTGTAAGCCCAAGTGTATGTGTATGTGTATATGTGCACGTGTGTGTATAAGTATGTGTGTGCATGAGTGCGTGTATGTGTGTATGCGTGCGTATGTGTGTGCATGTGTATGTGTGTGCATATGTGTGTGTGCATGTGTGTATGAGTATGTGTGTATGCGTATATATGTGTATGTTTGTGTATGTGTGTATGTTTGTGTATGTGTGTGTGTGCGTGTGTATGTTTGTGCATGTGTATGAGTGTGTGTGTGTGCATGTGTATGTTTGTGTGTGTGTGTGTGCACGCGCCTATTTAAGGATGCACAGGTTGCTCCTGCAGGCTGGCAGCGTGTGTCTGTGGAGCAGTGGGTGGCGCTCACCAGGGCAGCTGAGATCTCCATGGTGGCTCCAGTCTGGTGGGGTCTAAAGGGCGCCCCAGGCCTCCCATTATGCAGCCCAGCTCCCATGTGGCTCTCAGAAGACTCGTTCCGTGTGTCCGTGTGGCGGTGAGCCGCCCTGGCGAGGATCTTCTGAAAGATGAGACAGTCCCTGGGAGGCTGACGGAGGCCAGCAGCTGTAGCTCCCACTAGCTGCTGTTAAGAAGCCCAGGTATAAAGGGACCCAGAGGAAATAGGACACGGCCCACATGCCGCTCACCCCCTGCAGAGGCTGCCCTGCATGACCCCATGTGCCACCACACATGGCACATGGCCCCCATGTGCCACCTTCACACCCCTGGGGCAGGCACGGCGCCTGCCTCACAGCCTGTGGGCACCCTGGCCTGAATTCCTGCCATGCTTCAAGTGCCACTCGGGCCACACCGCCAATGACCACAGCCAAGGGGCCACCATCCGCCGGGAACAGGGAGACGAGCAGGGGCTGGCCTGGCAGGCAGAACCTGTGGCTTCATGGGGCCACCGTCCCCACCAGGAGCTTCAGAGTATCTGCCTCTCCCTGACCTCTGGGGAGCCCCACAAGCCATGTTGGCTGCCCCCTGAAGAGCAGCTGATGACCTCAAATAGCAGGCCTCACGCCAGAGCCCCCCTCACCCCGGGCAGCCTAGGGCTGCCAGCTGGGGCAGTGGCAGCTGCCCGGGGAGCTGGGAGCCTTTGATTTGCGTCAGTGCTGAGCTGGCCAGGAGGGGCTCACGCCGGGTGCTCAGCAGCTACTGGGAGTCACGGTGACATCACAGCTCTGGGGATGCAGAGAGGGTCCCGCAGGGAGACAGGGGTGGCTATATGCAGCCCAGTGCTGAGCTCACACCCCTGTCTCCCCAGGAGCTGGGTTTTTAAAAGCAGTTTCCATGATACAAGCACCAGGTCAGTCCCCTAAGAGAAGGCGGAAGCTGGAGAATTGTCTCTCCCAGGACGGGCTGCCCTGACGGCCCCCAGCAGCAGTGGGCCGGCCACCCTGTGGCCACCAAAGGACTCCAGCTAATTGAGGGGCTTGGCAGGAGCCCTGGCCACGGCTGGAAACCTGCAATTTCACTGAAAGGGTCCTCAAAGGATACTCCTGAGAAACACAGTGGCCAGGAGGGGCGAGAAGAAGGTGCACTTCGTGGGGTCCCTACAGGGCGCTCCAGGGAGCGTCAGGCGTGAGTGCAGCACTTCCCTGGGAAAGAGCCGGGTTTGAGTCCAGCTATGTGACCCCACGTGTGTCTCCTCCCGACCGCCCTTCGTCACCGACCCCGCCCACCCAGGAACAGAAGATGTGAGTCATCTCTGACATTCCACGCTTTATCCTCGCAAAGGCCTCCCAAGAAGGCAGCTCCCCCAACCCCTCCAACCTACCTTGAGTCAGTCAACAGCCCAGGCACCGTCCAGGTGCCCCCGCCAGCAGGCTGCCCCCAACTCCTGGCAGCAACTGCCCCCGACAGCCTGACCTGCCTCCCTCAGCTCACCTCTGCAGACGCCCTCTGCTCCTCGGCTCAAACACCCCACCTCAGCTGATTGCTGAGCTCCAAGACGGCCCCTCTCCCCAGGCTGGAGGGCGCATGCCGGGGCCACAGCTCCTGGCCTGGGAAGGGGACTCTGCTGGTCATCGGGGCTGGCTTTAAACACTGAGGACAGACTGACTTGTGTTTAAAGACCCTGGGCAGAGCGTGCTCACTGGGTCCCATTCCCAGCCACAAGGAGAGCTGGGTGCCCCTGAGGTTCCTTGCTGGGGGTCCGTCCAGTCCCAGGCCAGGTGGGACCAACAACTCCACTGACCTGCAGCCCACTCGGGGTGCGAGGTTGGGAGCCCTGCCTAGAGGCAGATGCTGACGCCTTGGTCATCTTTGGAGGGCACCTCTCCCTCATCAGGGCCTGTCCCTCCTCCCCAGCCCCTGCAGCCCACCCCCACCTGGTGATGTCCCTGGACAGAGGTGCCGCCCTGACGGAGGAGGCCGTCCTACCAGGCGCTATCGTGTTGTCTCCCTAAGCCAGCCTGGCTCTTCACGGACCGTGCTCCAGGTGGAGAATTCCGGGTTCAGGGAGGCTGTGGTCACTCCTGGTCGCACACTCATGGGGGCAGAACTGAGATCCCCATGGGGCTTGTTGCTTAGTCCATGCCTCCCCAGCCCTGTGGTAACAGACGGCCAGACACTCAGCGGCTGGAACACGCAGATCGATTCTCAGGCTTCTGGAGGTCGATGTCCTGACCCAGCTCTCGCTGACGGAGATGACAGTGTGGGCCAGGCGGCCTTCCTCCTGCAGGCTCAGGGAGAAGCCACTTCCCTGCCTTTTCCTGCTTCCCGAGGCCACCCGCATTCCCTGGCTCACAGCCTCTTCCTCGGTTCCAAGCCAGCTGTGGGGGGCGGGGCCCTTGTGTTGCATCTGATGCTGGGTGTCCTCCCTCCCCTGCCCTCTGTGCTCACACCGGGCCTGCCGGGGAACCCAGGTGCCTCTCCACTGCCAGCCGGCTGGGGACCCGCCCCAGCTACCCTCTGCCATGTAAGGTGAGACATTTTCACAGCTCCCAGGATTAGGGCCTGGTCATCTTTGGGGCCACCACACTGCAGGTCATTCTCAACTAAGTTCTGGGGATGCGCACTCGTGTCCATCCTGATGGGCCGGGAGGGGTAGGCAGAGCGGCACGATGGAGACGCCTGGTTCCTGGAGCACTGTCCTTGTAGGCAGAGGCTGAGGGGAGGCTGCACTGCCCATTAGCGCCAGTGTTGATAGGGCAGTGGAGGAGGACACACTGGGATTGTTCATATAAAAATATGAGATTCCAAAGAAACGGTGGCTTTGTCAGGGCACCTGGGACACCTCCCAGATCTTTGGGGGTAGTTCACAGTCCCAAGATGAGAGTGTGCTCCAGGAAAGGGTGACCTGCCCCCAGATGGCTCTCACAGCCGTGTCCAGCAGGGGCTGGGGGTGGCAGCTACCAGTGTTACTACGGAGAAGAACAGGAGAGAAAGAGGTAGGAGGCAGCAGGAGGCAGCTGCAGAGGCGGCAGGAAGGAAGAGTGACTGAGGCTGCTGTCGTGCCAAGGATCCAGACCTGGAAGGAAATGGGGTCACACAGACCCTGGAAGGAGCTGGGGTCCCAGGGGAGGGAAAGTGCTGTCTCAGCCCCAGTTGGGCTCCACGCCAGAAACTCACACTTCCTTTCCAGCCACACCTGTGCAGTGAGGCCAGTTTCCTCCTGCCTGGGACAGTGCCCCCCACCACAGCCTGTGGCCCCTGCTGGGGTTTGTCCGGGCACCCCTGAAGCTCAGGAGTGGTGGACTCTCCGGAAGGAGCTGGTAGAGAAATGACAGAGTCCCACCCGCCTGCTTCTGCAGACCCTCCCGGGGTACAGGCACCCACTCTGGGCTCCCGTCCTGGAGTCAAGGGAACAGGAGAGGCCAGCCCAGGATGCAGTGAGGTGCCTCCTTGTCCCCTTGCTCTGGGGGTTGCTTTCTTTGGAGGTCATGACCAATGGACAGCAGGGGCTGGCGCTCCTCACGCCCATCCCATCAGAGGCTTCTGAGCTGGGAAACCAGGGAGCTGCTTTGGTGAAAATAGAATGGGGTGGGAGCAGGGGAAGGACAGGATGGGAATCAGGAGGGGATGGAGGCAGGGAGGCGGGCCATGCACAGGAGAGAGGAGCCAGCCTGGAAGTTCCCCACTGCCCTGGCGTGGCGTGGCGTGGCGTGGTGGGTCCCCGTGGCCAGGGGCTTTCTTTGCCCTCTCTCCAAGGCTCTCGGACACCAGAGTTCAGCCAGACCATCACAGCCTGGGGCAGTCAGGACAGGTTCTGGGGCCCGCAGCAGGTCACCCCTCCAGCATAGCACCTGGCCTATCTGATTCCCGGGATCTTTCCTGCCTTCTCACCACCTCTGGGTTCTGGAGCTTGCCCAGGCCCCGTCTGCCTGAAGCCTGGCTTTCCTGCAGAGCCCCAGGATAGGCCCCAGCCCTGAGTTCAGCCTGGACACTGCGGGCACAGGTAACGCCAGACACTTTGCCGTGGTGCTGGTCTTGCACAGGTGCTGCTGGGATTCCCTGGCTGTGTGTGCCATCCTGGCACACTGCAAGACAGACACCTCTCAGAGTCTGGGCAGGAAACAGATGGCCCACTCGTCAGGGGTGTTTGAAGAGATTTGTTTATGAAAAGAGCATTTTCAGAGGTGTCGGCAGGTTGAGGGAAAAACACCAAGGGGCCTGTTGTAGTGGAAGGCGTGACCACGCCCAGGACCAAGGAAGCAAAAGAAGGAAAGCTGTTGCCAGAACAGGGGTCAGAGCCCCGGGGAGGGGCCACCTGGCAGGAGGGTGTGCTCCTGGAGGGACGTGGTCAGAAGGTCCCTCCTGTCCTGTCTGTCCTTCCTGAATCTGATGTCCTGCCACCATCTTTGATTGGCTGAAGCCCCAAACAGAAGCCCAGAGGTGAAGGAGCCTAGAGGGAGAAGTCACCTGCCTAGCGGGCAGCTTTCAGAAGTGCAGTACAGGTGGCAGGAAGAGGGATGGAGAGAGGAAGTGGGGCAACCAGAAATATCCAGTCCTTACCCCCGAGAGTAGTAGCTAGGTGGTGGTAGTGATGGTGATGGTGGTGGTGGTGATGGTGGTGGTGATGTTGATGGTGGTGGTGGTGATGGTGATGGTGGTGGTGGTGATGGTGGTGATGGTGATGGTGGTGATGATGGTGGTGATGATGCTGCTGATGGTGATGGTGGTGATGGTGATGGTGGTGATGATGGTGGTGATGATGCTGCTGATGGTGATGGTGATGGTGGTGGTGATGGTGGTGTTGGTGGTGATGGTGGTGGTGGTGGTGATGGTGGTGATGATGGTGGTGATGGTGGTGGTGATGATGATGGTGATGGTGATGGTGGTGGTAGTGGTGGTGGTGGTGATGGTGATGGTGGTGGTGGTGGTGTTGGTGGTGGTGATTGTTGTGGTGGTGTTGGTGGTGGTGATGGTGATGGTGGTGGTGATGGTGATGGTCATGATGGTGATGGTGGTGATGGTGATGGTGGTGGTGTTGGTGGTGGTGGTGATGGTGGTGGTGGTGATGATGATGCTGATGGTGATGGTGGTGATGTTGATGGTGGTGATGATGGTGGTGATGATGCTGCTGATGGTGATGGTGATGGTGGTGGTGATGGTGGTGTTGGTGTTGGTGATGGTGGTGGTGATGGTGGTGGTGGTGATGGTGGTGGTGATGGTGGTGATGGTGATGGTGATGATGGTGATGGTGGTGGTGGTGGTGGTGATGGTGGTGGTGATGGTGGTGATGATGGTGGTGATGATGGTGGTGATGGTGGTGGTGATGATGGTGGTGATGGTGATGGTGGTGGTGATGGTGATGGTGGTGGTGGTGGTGATGGTGGTGGTGGTGGTGGTGATTGTCGTGGTGGTGTTGGTGGTGGTGATGGTGATGGTGGTGGTGATGGTGATGGTCATGATGGTGATGGTGGTGATGGTGATGGTGGCGGTGTTGGTGGTGGTGATGGTGGTGGTGATGGTGGTGGTGGTGGTGGTGGTGATGGTGGTGGTGGTGATGGTGGTGATGGTGGTGGTGTTGGTGGTGGTGATGGTGGTGATGGTGGTGATGGTGATGGTGGTGATGCTGATGGTGGTGATAGTGGTGGTGATGATGGTGGTGATGGTGATGGTGGTGGTGGTGGTGATGGTGATGGTGGTGGTGGTGGGGTTGGTGGTGGTGTTGGTGGTGGTGATGGTGATGGTGGTGATGGTGATGGTGATGGTGATGGTCATGATGGTGATGGTGATGGTGATGGTGGTGGTGTTGGTGGTGGTGATGGTGGTGGTGATGGTGGTGGTGGTGATGGTGGTGGTGATGGTGGTGGTGGTGATGGTGGTGATGGTGGTGGTGTTGGTGGTGGTGATGGTGGTGATGGTGATGGTGGTGATGGTGATGGTGGTGATGCTGATGGTGGTGATGCTGATGGTGGTGATGGTGGTGGTGGTGATGGTGGTGATGGTGGTGGTGTTGGTGGTGGTGGTGGTGATGGTGATGGTGGTGATGATGTTGGTGATGGTGGTGGTGATGGTGGTGGTGATGGTGATGGTGGTGATGGTGGTGATGATGTTGGTGATGGTGGTGGTGATGGTGGTGGTGGTGATGGTGGTGATGGTGGTGGTGTTGGTGGTGGTGGTGGTGATGGTGATGGTGATGGTGGTGATGGTGGTGATGGTGATGGTGGTGATGGTGGTGGTGGTGATTGTAGTGATAATGATGGGATGATAGTGGCGATGGTAGTGGTGGCAGTGGTGGTGTTAGTAATGTTCTCACTCTTGTAAATAAAGCTGGCCATTTTCTAGAGAAAGCTCATGGCATTTGCTATCTGCTTTCCAACCACCTGCAGAAATCATCATCCGTGCTCCCCATTTCAATCCTGATGGGGCTACCTGCATGATCAGGGGTGCACTGGACCCCAGGAGGTCAGCACTGGCTAGGATGAGTCCTGTCAGCCCTCAGCTCACTGTCCAGCCATGGCCCACACTGCTTTCACTGCATCCTTGTCTTTCCCCGAACCACTGACCACAGGCCACACACCCTCTGACCAGCTCTGTGCCCACTGCTGACCCATTGGCATTTGGGTTCCTTATGTGCCAAGGTCCCGATAAGCACTCAAAGGAAGTTGTCTCTGGTGGGGCTGCCCTCCCAGACCCCCTCCTGCCCTCTCCTACCCCAGCTGTGGTTCACCTGAGGACGTTCACTTCCTCTTCTTGCCCCTCAGCCCCTCTTGGGCCTCGCTCCCCTCCCCCAGAAGCACCACCTGGTCTAAGGAGTAGCTTCTCTGCCCACAGCCAGGAGGTGGACGGTGAGTCTCTCTTGACACAACTGGTGTCCCCAGGGTCGGGGGGTGCGTGCCTGCTGCTGACGGAGCGCCCATGACTGCCTGGCCTGCACACACTCACTCACTGCTCCCTGCCTCTGAGAGGTGCAGCCCCGGAGGGCTCTGTGTGATGTCACTCGATCACTCTACACCAGACTTTATTATTATTTTTTTGAGACGGTATCTCAGTCTGTCACCCAGGCTAGAGTGCAATCTTGGCTTACTGCAACCTCTGCCTCCCAGGTTCAAGCGATTCTCTTGCCTCAGCCTCCCAAGTAGCTGGGATTAGAGGTGCCTGCCACCACACCCCACTAATTTTTGTATTTTTAGTAGAGACGGGCTTTCACCATGTTGGCCAGGCTGGTTTTGAACTCCTGACATCAAGTGATCCACCTGCTTCGGCCTCCCAAAGTCCTGGGATTATAGGTGTGAGCCACCGTGCCCGGCCTACACCAGACTTAAGTACACACACACACACACACAAATATACATGCGTGCTGCACACTCCACAGACATACACACATCCACACACGCATAAACACACACTCACACAAGAACATACACGCACATACTGAACATTCATGCACAAACACACATAATATGCACTCACACAACACAGAGCACACGTACATAACATACAAACACATACGTATGCTGAACCACACACAAATACAAATGCATGCACACAATGCTCATGCATATACACATAACACACACACAAATCACACATGCATGCACCATGCTCACAAGCACATACAAACAACACACGTACATACACTCTCAAACGCACACACAGACACACCCCCGGCGTTTTTCCATCACGCTGAGGGTGGGGTGGAAGTGCCCAGGCTGGAAGCTGGGGGATAGGAGCCTTCTCATCTAATTTCTTCCTGGTTTCAGGACCTGGGCCACAGAAGCAGCCTCACCATCAGACTGCGGCCTTCCTGTGGTGGTCAGGGTTCCTGGGGGTTGGTGGGGCTTCTGCTGACAGAGAGAGGGACGTGAAGGCTCACGCATGACCAGCGTGTCTCCAGCTTCAGGAGACTGAGGAGGACTTTGAACCCTTGGGAGGACTCAAAATTGGCCCTGGAGTCCTGAGGAACTTTTTCCTACAGGGTGGGGACCATTGGGGGAGATGCCAGATAAACATTTGCAAGACTTTTCCTGGGTCTAGGAATTAAAAGAGATTTGTCAAGGCAGTGAGTACTCTCCATGGCTCCTGGGTGTCTCTGCAACCCCGCTCGCCCCTGGCCTCCGGACTGTGTCCCCAACTGCTTCCTTCAAGTGGACATCCAGTAAATGTCTCACGAGAGACATCCCTCCTGCCCTGAGTGCACAGCCGCTCCCGCCTCCCATCCCTGCACACGGCCATCCCCCTCTTGGGTGGTGACAGAGCCATCCTTCCAGTTGCTCAGAGTGAATCGCGTTCTCCTGGTTTCCAGGAACCCCATGAGCTCTGTCATCGGAATGCATCCGGAATCTGCCCACTTCCCTGCCTCGCTGGCCTGGATGACTGCACGAGACTCCTACAGTTTCCCATCCACCCCCGCCGCCGTCTGTGCTCCACGCGGAAGTCACAGCAGTCGAGGGAGCTCCACGCTGCTGGGCTCACGGCCTCCAGCGACTGTCTCCTGATCAAATGCCGCCAACAGCCAGGTGGAACTGTGACCCCCGGCTCCCGGCTGCCCTGTCAAAGCTCTCAGGCTTCCCTATACTACGAGATGCACTTCTTCCCCCTCCCTTTGCTCCCCCACTAGGGCATCCACTCCGCGTAGGTGCAGGCTTTGTCTGTTTTGCTCACTGGTGAGGAGGAGGACGAGGAGGCGGAGGATGACGCTGTGCCCAGCCCCGGCCTGCCCTGAGGAGGTGCTTAGTAAATATTTGTTGAGAGAATGAATGCATGGAATGCATTTCTATTTCCAGCCCCAGCCAGGCTCCTGGAAGCGCAGAAACAGGAGCAGATTTGCAAAGGAGGAGAAAGCCCGGACGTGGAGGGCTCGAAGTGGGCTTGAACTGCTGGAGGTGCTAAGAAACGGTTTCCTTCCTCCTCAGATCTCTCCGCAGTCTGCGACAGGCCAGGTTTCGCAAACAGCTCATCTGGCTGGGTTAAGAGGGGCCAGAGAGGGTCTGGGGTCGGGGAGGGAAGGCTGAGGCTCCAGCCTGTCCCTGCAGCTGCTCGGGTTCCAAATGCCTGGAAGCCTGGACTCGTTCCCACCCAGCCGAGGCAGGCTGCAGAGAGCTGACTCCTTTAAGCTGGCCCCGGCATTTACCCCAGAGCCACAGGTTCTGCCCCGGCTGCCCTGAGGCTGGCCTGGTGGGGGTGGCGCCCCCCCACCCCCCGCAGCGTGCCCCTCCCCTCCACACAAGCGAGCCCAGCCTGGCCCCCTCACAGTCACACGCCCCTTGAGGAGGCCCCTCCACGAGTCACAAGGCAGAGTTTCCATTGGCGTCAAATGTACGTGGATGCTGGATCTGGGACGGACAGGAGCCAAGAGGGGAGAAGCCAGTTTTAGAAAATTCACATGCCTGGGGGTCACAGAGGGCAGACCCCCAAGGGCACCGCATCCCCATGGTAGGGGTGGGAGTGGCCCTTGGGGCATAGACCCAGTATGTGTGCACACTCTCCCTCTCTGTCACTCCCACATATGCACATGCAAACACACGCAAACACAAACACACATGCACACAAACACACACAAGGAAACACACGCACACATGCACACACAAGCACACACTCATGCACACACGCACACAAAGCAAACACACGCACACACATGCAAACACACACACCTCATATCTCTGTCTACAGTGGAGACAGACCTCCCACATATATGGCAGGAGACAGGAGTCCGTGATTCCTGGGTCTGAAGTGCCTACGTGTGTACCCCACACTGCACAGTGTACGATGCCTGCTATGCTCCTGGGACAGCATGTGGGGCGGGGCCTCCCAGGCATGAGAGATGGAAGATACTCGAGTGGGCATGTGAGGCCCAGAAAGCAAGCGCGCTGCTCCGAGTGATGTCATTGTGTCTACAGTGCTGTCGGGCCCTGGTGATCTTCGCCTTCCCAGACAGTTTCCTCTTCTCTTCGTCACAAAACCCTGTTTGTTTTGTTTAAGAAAACCCGCCTGCTGACTCTTACGTAGTGTCATGTATTTTGTTGTCTGTGTTTCTAGGGCTGCTGCCAACCTCGGGGTGATCATGTGACCCCAAGGCTAGCCAGCAAGAGGACCTCATTCCTCCACCACAGACAGCAGGACAGGGGTGGGCATGGGGCCCGAGCCCACACAAAGCCCTGCCTGGGATTTTGCTGAAGACAGAAGCACCCTGACCCTCCAAGTTGGGAGTTTCGAGGACCCCCTGAACTTAGAGCTCCTGGGCCGTCTTTCCCTGAGAATGAAGCCAACACAGGCAGGATTGAGCTTAGAGTCTGAATTAGATGGTGCCTAGTGACCGCCTCTGAACTCCTGGACCCAGCTACACCTGAAGCCACTCTACCCCACATTTTCTAGGCAAGTCAACCTGCAAACGCCCTTCTTTTCTGAAATGAGCTTGGGTTGGGATTCTGTCACTTCAACCAAAAGGACCCCAGCCATGCAATGTTGCAATATCGAAGTAGGATGGTCTAGGCTTTATGAGTGGCAGACCGAGGCGGGGCAGGAAGATGGAGGCTTTCTGGCTCCCAACAGGTGGAAGAGGGGAGTCTCCGGGGTGGCCAGATACATCTACAGACTCACTTGCCCCTGGGCTGTTCTCCAAAACCGCCGTGGAGGTGGGACTCCGACCCATCTGAGCCTCTTCCTGACCTGGACCACCTGGGACAGCTGTGTTTACAGCATCTGGGCCCTTGAGCGTGAGTGTCCCACCTCCCCGTAGGATCAGGCCCCTGGGAAGGCAGGGGCCGATTCTCTTTCTTCCCTCTGTGGCAGTCCCCCCATCCCATCACAGAGCGCCATAGACGACAAGCTGTGGCCGTCGGTCTGGGGGTTCGAGCCCCCAGGCCCCACTCCACCCACTCCGAGGATTGGCTTGGTGGGGCCGGTGCTGGCTCCCAGAGGCTGCAGGGCTCTGGAAGGAAAGGCCTTCTGCAGAGCAGGGCCCCTGTAGCCTGGCCGCCTGACCAGCCTGTGGGGAGGGAGGCGGCGGTGGGAAGCCCCTTGCTCTGCTGGCGCCCCTCCCAACGCCCAGGGCCTCTTTACCCAGCATTTCTCTGCCGCTGTGACTGTGCCTAGACCTCGAGCTCAGAGAAAAGGCTGTTGCTGCCGGCTCAGCTGAAACCGCCTGGTGCTTTCTATAGAATCTTTGTGAGGAGCTATTATAGAAGGGACTGTTATCAAAGAATTAATTACGGAAACTAAGGACTGCACAAAAATAATTATTTCCAAACAATGAGTGTACAGCCCTGAGAATTCCAGTGGGAGTGGTGGCGATCTACCCGGGTCTGTGGGCCTAGCCTGGGGTCACCGTACGTCGTGGCCTGTCTCCCTTCTTCTCCGGATCCCCCACCCCAGGCCACGTGCCTCAAGGGACATCTGGGATGGAGGAAGCCAAGGGTCAGGCTGAATCCTTCCTCGCCAAACATGGACACGATGCCTGGCACCCCCACTGAGAGTGGTCTGTGGTCCTCTCCGGTGATCACTACAGTGTCTCTGAGATATCATTGTCCCCATTTCCCAGATGGGAAAACCGAGGCTCCAAATGGCTAAGAAACATGCCCAAGTGTCTGAACCTGCAGGCAGCGGGCTGGGGCTCAGGCCTCGGTCTGTGTGGCCTCCTTAGTCAGTGGGGAGTGGGTGTGAGGGAAGCCCAGGTGACACTGGCCCAGCAGGACACACAGGACAGCAGGTGCAGAGGAACCCGCACCGAGGGACCCCACCCACAGGCAGCAGTGGCATCTGCGGCAGGGAGATTTACCTCTGTGCTCCCCGCACTGTCCCATGAGTTGTCCAAGGACTGGGACCTGGGGTTGGGAGGGACACACAGCAGCCGTTGGCTGTGTTGCCATGACACGACAGAGGTTCCAGCCACTAGCACAGGCCGCCTGTCCTGGGGAGACAGTCCTATTTGTAACATCTATCTCAGCCTGAATCGGGGAGACAGTCCTGTTTGTGACATCTGTCTCAGCTTGAATCGGGGAGACAGTCCTGTTTGTGACATCTGTCTCAGCCTGAATTGGAGAAGGTTTCCTACAGCAGAAGCAGACCCAGAGCAAGGGCATCCCTGATTCGGGAGGAAGCTGGCGTGCCGAAGGTCACCAGCAGGCACTGTGGACCCAGCCTTTGAGCTTGGACCCCGCCTGGCCCACAAAGCCCCGTGCTGCTTCCCAGGGCCCACGCGCAGGTTCCCGGACCTCCAGCTGCACCCTGGAGGGGGTGAGGGGGGCTCACTGTGTGGCGTGTGCCAGGTGGAGGGGCTGGCGTGGGACAGAGGGATGGAGCTCGGGGGAAGACCAGCAGATCCCTGGACACACGGGGTGAGGCTGGGCTGTCTCAGATAGGCAGGACTAAAAGCAAGACAAGCAAGACAGAAGGGCTCAAGACTGGAGCAGCCAGGAAATTCTGTCCAAGCCGAGTCCCTGGGTTTGCGAGACTTCACGCCACCTCACAGGGGTCGTCTGGGGTTGTGGTCTCTGGCCAGGAGGGTGCGGGAGCCTCTTTCTTCCAGCTCAGCTCGTGCTACACCAGAAAGGGAAGGGCAAGAGCACCCCCTCAACCCAGAGGACCCCCAGATCAAGAGACCACCCAGGCTACAATCAACTCTGATGGCGCTTTTAATCACCCCAGCAGGAGTGGCGACTGTAAACAGACATTCAACAATTCCCAGTGACACACATACCTCCCGGGAAAAACCGCGTTTCCATAAACCTTGCAGAAACGACTTGGAGAGCTTGCTGAGCGAGGGCCGCCTGGACACCAGTGTGCAGACGCCGTGTCCTCAGCACCCCCACACTCAGCTGTCCTGCGAGCCCCAGCCCCTGGAACACTCCAGCTGCCTCTCCACTTGTCTGGCGGGATGTTTCCTCCCGGTGCCCTCATCACCCCACACCCACCCTCTTCTCCCGGGCTCCCGATGGCTCCCCCCACCACTTGCTCTGCTGATGGGTACACTCTCCCCAGGTCTGGCTGTGAAGCCATCCTGGGTGCCTCGGTTTCCCCTGCTGGCCAGGCAGTCACCAGCTACCTCAGTGGGAATGCCACTCTCTGCCGCCACCCAGCCTGGGTCAGTGGGACGCCTGCACTTTCCCAAGTTGCGTTCCTCCAGCCCTTTCTCTGGACACTCGGATGAGAACAAGGCTACTGGCCAAGGGCGTGAGAACAGGGATCAGCCTCAGAGACCATCCCATCTCTGTGAGTGTCCTGAAGCTGCCAAGCAAAGTGCCACCAACGGGGTGGCTGAGACCAACAGAAGTGTATTCCCTCTTGGTTCTGAGGCCAGAAGCCTGAGCTTAAGGCGTCAGGAGAGCCAGCCCCACTCTGGCAGCTCTAGAAGAGAATCCGTTTCTTGCTCTCCCAGCTTCTGGTGTTGCTGGCAACCATTAGCATTCTTGACTTGTGGCTGCGCTGCTCCCATCTCTGTCCCCGGGGTCACGCGGCCTTCTCCCCGGCCTTGCTGTGTGTCCCCTCCTCTTGTAAGACTCCAGTCACTGGGTTTAGGGCCCACACAAATCTAGTATGACCTCACCTTGACTTAATCACATCTGCAAAGGCCCTTCTTCCAAATAAGGTCATGTTCCCCATTTCTGGGTAGATGTAAATTTAGGGGAGCTGCTATGTAGCCCAGTGCCATCCTCCTACAAACCCCAGGATGGCCGAGGAATCCAGTCTCAACTGAGATGCATCAGGCTGCTTAGGATCAGAGCCCGGACCATACTGAGCACTCACATTCTCTCCTAATATTCTTTCAAGCATTCCAGCAACATCTATTCCTGGAAACCCCAGGTCAATCCCCCACCACCAGTGTTGCTGTTGCCTGGAGAAGAAAATGCTCCAGACCCCTCCTTCCCAGCCTGCTGGGTTCCCTCCAACCCAGGCCCAGCCCCCTTCTCCAGGGATTGATAAGACGCCATTTCCAGATATATTGTTAAGTGGCAAAAGCAGACGGCAGTACGTAGTGACACATCTTTTGTGTAATAAAGTGTAAGGATATGTATATGTGCGTGTTTATTTATAGATGCAAAAGAAAAGCACTGGAAAGATAAATCAGAAACTAATAAAAATGGTGACTTTACGTGTGTGTGGAGTTAGAAATGGAAGCTAGCTGCTCTGGAGATACTTGGCTTTAGTGTTTGAGTCCAGAACTATGTGAATGTTTCCCATATTCAAAACAATTTGAATTTGTTAAAATTTAAGTTTAAAAGAGAGCATCCTTAGAAAAGGAAACCAACAAAAGTGAAAATTTATATAGAGTTTGTAACATAACTAAAACAAAGACAAAATTATTTGAAGTAGTTTTACAGCACAGAATTTAGGCTTTTTTTTTTTAACTGGTGGCGCGTATTTTAAGGATAAAAAGAATGGCAAGGAAATCGTATGTATCATTCAGTAGGTCTTAGTGTTAGTGTTAAGTCTGGCATCGTTATTTAAATTTTTTCCTCTTCCAGGATAAAGCCAGTAAGTAATTATGTGAATGTTGTGAGGAACCAAAATTATTATTACTGAAAGAGAAAAAATTCACAAATATAAAATCCAATAGGTTAAGAGGAGCACTGTCATCTTAAATTTGAATTGGAAATGTTAACGTAATCTCATAACTTATTTATTCATTCTGATTGATTGATTGATTGATTGAGACAGGGTCTCACTCTGCCGCCCAGGCTGGAGTGCAGGGGCATGATCTTGGCTCCCTGCAGCCTGACCTCCCCAGGCTCAAGCCATCCTCCAGCCTCAGTGTCCTGAGTATTTGGGACCACAAGTATGCCACAATACCTGGCTGATTTTTGTATTTTTTGTAGAGATGAGTTTCACCATGTTGCCCAGGCTGGTCTCAAAACTCCTGAGCTCCAGCCATCCACCCGCCTCAGCCTCCCAAAATGCCGGGACTCCAGGTGTAAGCCACTGAGCCCGGCTGATCTCATGAAAGTGCTGGGATTACAGGCGTGAGCCATCATGCCTGGCCAGTCTCATGATTTGAAAACAAAATATGCATCTCCTAGTTCATGCCACTGAAAGGGAAGCTCTGGGAATGAAACTCGGGATCTGGCCTCCAGCCCTCCTCTTGCTGCTTGCTTGTCCCTGGAGTCAGGGGCATGTCTCCCACCACACAGAGGCAACACCCATGTGTCCCCAGTTGCACTGAGATACACCCAAGGGTGGTACCCACAAGGTGCACACACAGGGGACAGGTGACGTGCCTAACAGCAGCTAACCTGGTACACTGGTGTATGGGGGAGGGTGTAACGCCAACTGCGTTTTCCCCACTGACCTTGCCTGGACATCCCCCGCACTCTGAGACTCAAAACGTCTCTCATTCCTGATGTCACTGCTGACTGGCAGTGATGTCTAACTGGTCTCCTTCTCTCTTTCCCAGTGTTTTCCTGCCAACAGGAATTTAGATCTAAAGGCTTGGCGAGGTTCAGCTTCACTGCTGAACCAGAGGAATGAGATTCAGGTGGGAGATCCCGGGCAGTGGCTCCCCGGGCTGGCCTCTCTCAGGGCCTGGCCAGGGCTGCAGCTGCCCCACCCCAAGGTTCACCCCTCCCCAGTGTGGGGACTTGGAGCCTGACCTTGTCCCACTGGTAGGAGGGGACAGAGCAACGTTTTAAAGCAACAGGGGACATGAGGCATCTGTGGATTTCACTCAGATGTTTAGGAAATAACCTTGCAAGTGTGGAGATTCCTTTATGACAATATTCCCTACAAGTAATAAATCTATGATAGTGAAGAGTCGAAAACAACCCATATTTCCTAAAGCAGCACTGAAATAAGGCCATGTCAGAAAGGAATATTTAATGACATAGAGAAATGCTCTGATACATTAAATTGAAAAGGGAAGTAGGTGTACAGGATGGCTCCAATTTATATTACACTCTATTATGAAAAATAAGCTGGAAGAAGAGACACAAACATTTGTCAGAACTGACATCTGCCGGACGGTGGAACGGAAGGTGATCGTCACTTTTGTTTCATAGGACTTTCCTGTATGACTGCATGGCTAATAGCACTTCTCCTCGACACCGGTGCTGTTCTCGGAATCCTATCTAGAGCTTACAGGTGAGTTGTGGGTATTATGATTGACACTTTGCAAAAGAGGAAACTGAAGTTTAAATATCAAGGCAGCCCAGCTGGTGAGCAGCTGAGTCAGGATCCCAGCCCGAGGCTCTGCAACAACAGCACCCTAGGGGCACCGTGGTGGCTTGGGGGCCTCTGCACATGCAGCTTCTGGGCCCCACCCTGAGGCTTCCAGTGGGATTTGTCTGGGTGTTGGGAACTCTAACCATGAAACAGCTCCTCTATACCCAGCCCCATGGGTGAAGAGTGAGGTCTGTTCCCCTTGGGCCCTGACAGTGCCCAGGCCAGGGGGCCAGTCCTGGGAGTGCCCGCCCAGCCCTGAGCCCCAGCAAGTCCAGCAGAGCCCATGGATGGTGGGGATCCCAGCCTTCCACTCACTGCATGCCTTGGGGTGAGCCTCGAGGTGGATCCAGCCCGGGGAGCCAGTGCCTGGGTTCTTCCACCTCAATCTCACTCTTCTGGTTAAGCACTGGCTTCTTCCGCTTAGGTCCCTGGGAATAAGAGACGCTTTAGATAGGGGATCACATTTTTGGTCTCTCTGAGCCCCGCCGGGTGCTTTCCATGGACTGTCTCCTTGCACCACCCACTTTACAGATGAGAGGACCTAGAGTGGGGACCTGGCCAGGGCCACATGTGGTGCAAGGACCAGGCAGGATCTGAATGCAGGCCTGTCCATGTTGAAAAGTCCTGTGAGCACCAACCGCAGTGGTGACCAGAAGGCAAAAGTAGCATTTGAAGCCAGGGATGTGCAGACGGAGGCCAGCGCCCAGGAGACTGGCCTGCACGTGGTGGCCTCAGCTTCCAGAAGGTCCTGTGGGCACAGGGCTCTTGGCTGACTCAGAGCTGGTGGACGCAGAGGTTAGCTCCCTGCCATGCACAGCCAGGCCCTGACCCAACTTTGGTCCCTGGGGACAAGAGGGGCTGGGAGAGCCCTGCCCACCCAGGGGGCAGGCAGTCACCCCAGCGTGGAGGCTGGTTCTGCCCTTGGGAGGTGGTTCCTTTGGCTGGACCAGAATGTCTGCAGATGATCAGGAGAGGGCCAAGGGTTGGGGGGTGCCCCATGTGCACCCTGAGAATTGCACCAGGCACAGAGAGCAACTTCAGCCCTCCTTGTGCAGAGCTGCAGCGTACAGTGCCAGCCCTCGCTGGCCCTCACACACACAGGATGCCCCAAACATGGCTTGAGGCCTTGCAAAACATTAGGAACCGGGATGTCTGAACCCTGTTGGCTTCCGCGGTGTCAGAGCCTCACCCCAACCAGAAGGCGCATCGGGGACGTGGTCATGCGGTGTCTCCCTGACCTGAGAGTGACTCGGGAGGCTGCAGTCAGACCCCGGCGGCCCGGCCTGCGGGGTGACAGTGCTCAGAGAGGGACCCTTCAGCTCCTCCCTGCCAGGGTGGGGGGGGCTCTCTTCTCTGGGAGCAGGAGGCCTGGGGGGCAGGGGTGGGGTCCCAGCAGCCTCTCCCCCAGCGGCATGGTGTATGGCTGCGGAAGCCCTGGGTCTGTTTCCTTGTCTGTGACATGGGGCTGATGGCAGTGCTTCCCCTGCTCAGGGAAGACAGAGGCACAGATGGGGAGAGGCGGCCAACAAGCCCAAGAGCACCAGAGCCACCAGGAGCTGCAGGAGGCAGGAGGGACACCCCTCAGCCTTCAGGGAGGGTGTGCCTCGATCTTGCTCTTCTGGTGTCCAGAGCTGGGAGAGAATACCTTTCTGTTGTTTTAAGCCACTCGTTCTGGGGCACTTTGCTAGGGAAGCCCAGGAAACTCGGTGAGCACGGAGCTGGAGCTGCTTGAATGACTCACAAGCAAGTACAAGAGGAGAGGACCCCAGGCATTCGGGGGAAGCTTTGAAAGACCCGCCTGCTCCCTCAGCAGGCAAAAGAGGTCTTAGGGAGGGGCTGAGGGGTGTCGGAACCAAGCTCGTGAACCTGGGGCTGAAACCGCAAGGCCCCAGCAAAGCCAGAGCCTGGGATGGGGAGCTGAGGGTGCAATCAGCTTGTCCCTGGGAAGGTGATGTAGGGATTCCCAGCCTCGCAACACATCCATCATCTGGGAGTTACCTAAACTATGTGGAAATGCAGATCTCCAGGCTCCCACAAGAGGTTTTGGGGCAGAGCCCAAATGGGTGCATTTAGCAGCTCCCGCCTTACTCGGATGCGGGGCAGACCCACTGCCCCTCCCAGTAGGTCAGCACGTCTGGGGTCACTGGGCCAGCACAATGCTCCCTTTTTCCCTGTGGCAAAGTGAATGTGGAGGCTGAGGCGGGTGCATGGCTGGCATCCACTGAGTGCCACCCTCCCAGCACAAGGTGGCGGATGCACAGCAGGTGGCCTGGCTCTGCCATGCAGGCACCTGGGGACATGGGCAGGCTGCAGCCGGGACCCGGGCACCTCGCAGGGACAGGCTGGGGACGCCTCCTCCACTCTCCCCAGCCCGTCCTCATAAAGCACCTGTGGGGCTCCTCCTAAGCCCAGGGAGACCCAGGCCCACATGGGCAGCATGTGGCTGGTGTGTCACTGCAGCCAGGAAAATAACCTGGGAAATGACTGAAAATGCAGCCAGGCTGCACTCCTGTGTGCCCGGCCACTTCTCAGAAGGAGGGAGGAGGTTCATCTCAGGCCGGCTCCCACGGGCAGCTGGAAGCCACCCAGTTCCACTGCTGACCTGCTGCCTGAATGACCGACATGTGGCCGTTCGGCTGCCAAGCTGGCTGGCTTCAAGTGCAAAGCTGGCTGAACAAAGCAGGCCATTACGAAGCAATACAGAAGGCATTTTCCCGCAAACAGGGCCAGCGGGCTGGCGCCGAAGGAGGCTGGCCATGTGCTTCAGGCAGCACATTCACTCTCAAGGTCCTGCTTAGTAGGCTGCAGCCCGGGATAGCATGTCTAAGACCTCCATGGCAGGGAGCAGATAGGGCTGAGTCAGGGTGGCTGAGGGGTCACGGTCTGGAGAGAACATAGACGCTCTGTACTGCCTTTGGGGCTCCACTCTCCTTGGCAGAAGGCTCCAAGAGCCCTTCCCACGCACAGGTCTCTCCCCTTTCCTCCACTAGCCCATCGCCAGCCATGCATTCATTCACTCGCTCATCAAACCTACAATGAGCATGTACTATGTGCCAGGCACTGTCCAAGGTGCTGGGGACACAGCTGAGAACCAGACACACTCCTGTCCCTCACTGGGACTCCTCTACCCCAGCCACATCTCCAGGGCTCCCCACAGCCTGCACCCACCACTTCGCTCCCTCCCCTCCCCGCCTCCCTGGCAGTCAGACTCGTACTTCTGTCCCACAGCTTTCCCAGCCTCCTGGCTGCCTCCCCATTTCCTCCCACACTGGTGATCCCCCGATGAAATCCTCCTGCCCTTCATCCTGTCTTGGCGTCTGCCTCGCGATGACCCTGGGCTCACAGTCTGGCCACTGCAGCTGAGTGTCGCACTGGCTCAGGTGTGGCAACACGGGGGTTGAAAGGCTCTGAACCAGGCACCAGGAGCCCTGCGCCCCAGGCCAGCCCTCCGCAAACCAGCTTTGTGTCCTCGGACAACTCCAGGCCCATCCTGGGTCTTGCTGTCTGGAGAGAGGAGGAAGCCGGCCACACTCTCCAAGAACATTCAGCCTCCGCACTGCATGGCCTCTGCTTGGTTTCTGGCTGGGCCCAGGGCTCTGCTTGCAGTGTGGAGCCGCAGTGGTGGGTCCCCATGCGAGCCCCCGCCACTGTCTGCTGTCATCACCGGCCCAGATGCCCTTGCCACACAGCACCATTTCCAACTGCGAAGGCCTCCGTGTGGCGCCTGTCGGGACAACACGGCCGGCACAGGCTGGGCTGGGGGAGAAAGGGTGCTGGGCAGCTCTGTGCCCTGCGACTTTGTGGGTCTGCTGGGCTGTCCTTGTCTTGAAAACATTGTATTTTTGACTCCTATAAAGTAGTGGAGATAAGATTGGCTCTGAAATGTATTATGATCCCTTGAGTAGAGCCAGGGGGCAGAGCCACCTCCCTGGTGGTTTCCATGGGCATCAATAAGAAACGCTGCCATTTAGTGGGGAAAACAAGGTATGTGGATAGGCTCATAGCCCATGGTTCGAAGCCCATGCCCCTCTCAAGAGGGAGCAGACCAGGGAGGGTGGCAGGAGCATCCAGCGAGGGTTAGGGTGCCCCACCGGCCTGAGCTCCTGCCTTGGAAGCACCCTGAAGACAGATCGTGGGGCCCTGTGGAGCTGGCCTGGGGTTGCCACCAAGGACTCGTTTTGAAAACGTCTCCAATCAAACAGCAAAGTTTTGGGGGTCCCTGAGCCTCAGCCAGGGTCAGTTGCCCGAGTCACACCTGCTGAGGCAAGCGTGCAGGTGCAGGCCCCACCCACAGGCACCCCCTTTTTGCCCACCCAGCTCCATCTCCCACCCCAAGGGGCGTTGCCCAGCAAGCGCCTCCCAGGGGGCACATCTGAGCTCCACCCAAGGCCCCCCCTTGGGCCCCAGAAGAGGAGGGCAGACCCAGAAGGGCCCCCAAAGAGAGGCCAGATGTGGTCAGGGGAGGGTCGGGAAGGAGGGACAGGCCTCCCACTGGGTGTTCCCCTGGCCTCATGGGCCCGAATCCTCTGAAGCCTCAAACCACACTGGAGCCACATGGCCAGTTCCAAGGGCAGTGCCTGGGATGGCTCTTGGGATGGCTCTCAGGACGGTGAGGCCTGGTGGCCTCCATCCTCTATGTGGAGAAACAGCTGAGAAGGACGCTCCTCTCTCAAGGCAGTGAAGGGGAGGAGGGGAGGTGCTGGGCAATCTGTTTCACCCGGCCTGGGCCCCAGGCTTGGGGGCCCTCAGTGACTCACTATGAAGGCATCAGAAGGGCCCCTGGGAGGGATTTGTGAATATGTCCCCAGGCCTTGGAGGAGAAAACACAAGGGTACCCTGAAGCCAACTCCTGGCCTCCACCAAGAAAAATGAGCTCAGAGAGCACAGCCAGCACAGTGCCAGGGCAGGGGCCAAAGGCCGGCTCAGCCTCTGGGAGGAAGGAGCTCAGGCGGTGGCCTCAGCTGAGACTGGGTGCTGGAAGCTCCAGGACCCAGGGGACCCCATCCTCAACAGAGGGGTCTCCAGAGTCAGAAACGCTAGGCAGCCTCTGCCACTCAGAGTGGCCTAGGGTTGCCAGGGCTGTGGAAGCGCTGACCCTGAGGGGTTCACGGGGACAGTGAGAACAGGGAATTGTCATGTGACCCAGGGCTGGGTGGAGGAAGTGCCTCTACCTGGCCATGGTGGCACAGGAGCCATTGGCGTGGGCAGAAACCCAGGGTGGGTAGTGGGCTGGGGTGCCTGGGCTCTCTTGGGGCCAGATGACCAGCTCACAACTGAAACTGATGGTGAAGCATTTCATCAGCCGGGGTGTATGAGTCAGCTCAGCCTACGTAACAAAGCACCACACTGGGGGGCTTGAACCTCAGAAATCCCTGACCTCACGGCCCTGGAGGCCAGAAGTCTGCAATGCAGGTGTGGTCAGGGCTGGCTCCTCCTGGGGCTGTGAGGGAGCCTCTGGTCCCCATCTCTGCCAGCTTCTGGCAGCCTGAGATGTTCCTGGAGATGGCCGTCTTCTCCCTGTATCTTCAGTTTGTCCTCCCTGGACATGCCCCTCTGTGTCAGAATCGCCCCTTTTGGTAAAGACGCCAGTCTTGTTGGGTCCAACCTGTGACCTCATCTTAACCTGATCTGCCAGGACTCTGTTTCCAGTGAAGGTCCCACTCACAGGTACTGGGGGTTGGACTTCAGCATCTTTTGTGGGGAATACCATTCAAACCATCACCTGGGGGAGGGGAAGCTGCAGGCCCCTGTGGGCAGGGAGAGTTAACCTTGCACCTGCAGGATGGGCCCCACCCTCCCAGCCTTGGCCTCCCCATGGCCATGTACAAGCATAAACTTGCATCTGGTTTTACGAGCTGGAAATTTAACATAGAATCCTTTCTGCCATTTCACTCTCTACATTAGGACCTGAAAGGACAAGAGCACTTTTTTTTTTCTGTTTTACACTGAGCTGATTCAAGTGGACACATTGCTGGGGTCAGCAGCAGCAGTGAAGTCCTTTCCCCAGCCTTGAGAACACACATGACTTTACATCCAGCCCAGCAGCCCCCACAAACCCCCAGGAACAGCCCAGGGAACCCTGTCCTTGGTTTCCTCTGGGGCAGAGTTTTCTGGAACCACACTGAGAAGACACTGAAAGCATTAGAGAGGCTTGTGCTCCCCGGATGTATTTTATTGTTTTAATATATAAATTGATTCCTTTAAAAAACAAGCCACAAATCTCATGGCGGGCCCTTTTACGTGCATGAGCTCTAATTACTTGATTTTTTGGAAGCGCCTGAAAAAATTATATTTCTAATTCCTCTAGGCCTGTCATGAAAGAGCCTTTTATAACTGCCGGGCTGTCCCTCCTGGGAATCAGACGCTGCGGTGCAGAGGAGGATGACGACAGGAACCGCTCTTCTCAGAAAAGGGCCTTGCAGCCCTGAGCGTTTCCAGCTCAAACAGAATGGATGCGTCCGCTAATGATGTCTGTCGCTATTTGCATCGTGGATGCATTTCCAGGGTTCGCAGGCCCTGGAGAAGGAGGAAAAGCTTCCCACCCTGTCATGCTCAGGATCATGTCGTCATCGTCCACAGCTGAGTCACATCGCCCGGAGCAGATGTGACTGGCCCCCACCCCCTCTGTGTGTACAGAGAGATGCTCTCAGAGGGTCGGGAAGCCAGAGCCTCTGAGCCCAGCTTGGAGCATGGCAAGCCACGCTGGCTGGAAACCCCTGGACACAGAGACTTGCTGAGGGTCCTGTCACCCTTCTCCCCATTCCTGTAACCTCCCGAGGCCGGGCATCTGTCCTTTATGGAATGGGCCTTTGCCAAGCGCTGAACTTGACTCTAGAATGTCACTGAGCGTGTCTGGCTGCGGGGAAACGCGCTCCCTCCCCCTGGGGTTTGTTAGAAAGAGTTCTGAAGCCTTGCAGAGGGTGTGGGTGGAAAGTCCTTCTGGTGGGGAAGCCAGGTGCAGAAAGCCTAAGCTGAGAGCGCTCAGGGGAGGCACCCAGCATCGGGTGCACGGTGGGTTACCTGGAGGTCAGGCAGCCACTGCTGGCGCTGCTTCCCCATCCCATGGTTTGGCTCGGTACAGCCCATCTTCAGCTTAGCCAGCGCATGCCCAGCTAACCCCCCTGGGACTTGCCCGGTGTCAGCCTAGACCCTATAGGAGCAAGAAGAAGAAAAGTCGTGACTCATGCACTTGGGGAGCTTATGGTGTGGGCTTTGCAGGGATGGACTCTGAGCAGCCAATGATCAAACAGGAGGGCAGTTTACATGTCAGTGTTTTACCCAGAGTCCTTGGGGCAATAAGGGCAGTGGGCAAAATTCTGCTAACTACCCCCAGCCCTTCCATCCTTCTTCCTGAATAACAAGAACCCCAGCTTTTCACTGGACACACTGCATTCAGATAAGAGACTGCATTCCTCACACTACATCAGGACTAAGTGAGGCATAGTCTATTGGCTGGAATGCAGAGGTGATGACAGGTACTCAGGCAGCCACGTTGGACCATGAGACGGCAGGATCGATATGAAGGACTGTGAAGAGGCATGAAGCAACGAAGGGACATGGGGAAAGTCTGAATCCCTACTCTTATCGGAGCACGTCATAATATGAACTCCTTAATTTTAGCTGGATACAATTCCCATTCCCCCTCGCAGCCAGCTGTGACCATGTGCCTAAATTTTGGTGCCCAAATTTTAAGCAGAAGTGTTGTGTGCAACCTCCGGAAAGCATCCTTAACAGGCAGGACCATGCCCTCTGCTGTGCACTGAACTGTGTCCCCTGCAAATTCACATTGGAGCCCAAACTTCCCATGTGGCATGATTTGGAGATGGGGCTTTTGGGAGATAATTAGATTTAGATGAGGTCATGAGGGGGCCCTTTTGATGAGATTAGCGCCCTTTCAGAAGAGGAAGAGGCACCAGGGCTCCCTCTCTCTGCCATCTGAGGATACAACAAGACAATGACCATCTGCAAGCCAATTCGAGAGCCCTCCCCAGAATACAACCTCGCCGGCCCAGATCTCAGACTTCCAGCCTCTAGAGCTGGGGAAAGAAATGCCTGCGGCTCGAGCCACCACCTACGGTGTGTTACAGCAGCTGGGGCAGACGACGTCCTTCCTTCATCCTCTCCTCTTTCCTGCTGGCTCAAGTGCCCAAGCAGCCACCTGGCTCCACGGAGAGCTGATGATAGAGCAGCATAAGGAACGACCTGATGTTCTGGCTGGGCCAGATCGCCCTCCACGTTTGTCTTTGATTTGCAGTACATTCAGGGACAGAACCTACATCTAAACCCTGAACATTCGGATGTCTTCTGCTTTGATTTCCCATGAAAGAACATCTGAGTAATTATTGTGTCTGAAACTTCTCACGCACAAGCTGGTATAGATTTCCCTGTTCTCATCTTCCCAAGTTAGGTGGGCGTTTCCTGAGGCCACCCTAACATATTATCACACACACAGCTTAACACAAGGGAAATTGGCTGGGTGCGGTGGCTCACGCCTGTAATCCCAGCGCATGGGGAGGCCAAAGCGGGCGGATGGCATGAGTCCAGGAGTTTGAGACCAGCCTGGACAAGATAGCAAGACCCCATCTCTACAAAAACTACACGTACACACAAATTAACCAGGCGTGGTGGTGTGTGCCTGTGGTCCCAGGAACTCAGGAGGCTGAAGTGGGAGGATCACTTTAACCTGGGAGGTAGAGGCTGCAGTGAGCGGTGATTGCACCATTGCACTCCAGCCTGGGCTACAGAGTGAGATCCTGCTTCAAAACAAAACAAAACCAACAACAGAAATTGATTCTCTCGCAGTTCTAGAGACCTGATATCCAAGATGCCAGCAGGGCTGTGCTCCCTCTGAAGGCTCCAGGGGAGGATGTTTCCTTGGTTTCACCAAGATTAGGCGAAACTGAGCACATTCAGAATGCGTGGCCGTAGACAATACTTCCTGGTCTCCTCCAGCTCCTGGTGGAGGAGACCAGGTTTCCCTGGCTTGTGGCTGCGCCCTCCGATCTCTGCCTCCATCATCATGGCCTTCTTTTCTGTGTCTGTGTCTCTTGAAGGACACCTGTCGTTAGATGTAAAGTCCACGCAGATAATCCAGGATGACCTTATCTCAAGATCCTTAACTTAATTACATCTCCAAAACCCATTTTCCCAAAGAAGGTCATGTTCAAAGATTCCGAGGATTTGACGTGAACATATCTTTTGTGGGCCCGTTTGTGGGCCTGTCTCTATGGGTGACCCCAAGCAGAACAGACTCACCCTCGCAGAGGCCCTTCAGGGACCTGCGGGAGTGTCTAGGTGGCAGTGGCTGCCAGGAGGTTCCCTTGGCTCTGATGCCTCTCGCCCTGGTGCCCAGGTGTCTGTCACCCAGGGGCTGCATGCCTGGATCCTGCCTCCTGGCCTGGCTGCATGGGGTCCAGAGATGTCCTGTGGCGTCTGCCTGGGTGGAGCACGTCCTTGCAGATGTTCCCTCAGCCCCCCAGCTCCACGGCTGCTGGCCCCCGCCCTGAGCTCTGTGCAGCTGCTGGGGACTCAGCTGGACTCAGGGGTCCTGAGCTTGCCTGGAAGGGTTTCAGACCCCCTCTGGTGCCTCTGCCATCCTGGGCAGTGTCCCCCTCCCGCTCCCCCACCTCTCTGGTGCTCCCCATGCCTCAGCGGGTTTGCCCCCCTCCGACACCCCCGACACCCTCCACCACTTCGGGGACAACTGGGGCTCCATGTTTTCACGCATTTCTCCTTCTGCGTTGGGAGCTGCTCATTACTCTCTCAGCTCCACCGGCCCCAGCCCAGACCCCACTCCCAAGGCAGATGTCTTGCCCGGGGTAGGGGCAGATGGTGAAAACCTCAGTGGGAGGGGCCGGCCAGTCCCTCCTGGAATCCTGCGCCCTCCACCTCCAAGCACAAGCAGGGGAAGTGCGAAGCCTCTCTGAGCCTCAGTTTCCTCCTACTGAAATGGAACCAATAAATCCCATCTTGTGGTTCTCGCGCAGATGCACAAAGTAACTGCTCTCATGAGCATGCGCCCAGCCCGCCGGCAGTCAGTGGTCCCTGGGGCGGCTGGGCCATCGTCCCTGGGTGCCGAGGCTGCCAGGCCCCTGTGAGCAGGGAGAGGTTAACCTTGCACCTGCAGGATGGGCACCAGCCCTCAGCCTCGGTCTCCCCACGGCCACACACAAGTGTAAACTTGCTTAGACTTCCCCATAGCTTCGAAGTCCCAAAAGCCTCCCCACAGTCTCTGGGCAGCCTGCAGCGTCCCAACCTCCACAGCTGAGGTCCCTCGGCCCCCACCCCGCACTCCTGTCCTGCCCTCAAATTCCAGGCATGGTGAATGGTGTCACAACCCAAGCTAAAAAGCCAGGGCACACGCTAAGTCCCCCAAGAGAAATGTGGGAGGCACCATCAGGGCCCCCATCCCTCACTAGCCGCCTGCCGAGCTCCAGCCCATTTTCTGCCCCTCCTGCCAGCCTCCCTCCTGGCTGCCTGTCCGCTGCCCACAGGGGCCCCTGCAGCTCTTCAAGGGGGTGCTTCTCTCCAAGGCGCATCCCTCCCAGTCTCCCTCCTCCCCAGGCGTCCTCCACACCGTTAGCCTCAGGCGCCTTCTGGCAGTGGCTGGGGACCCTCACTCAGGAGCCCCCTTGGGTGGGTCGCAGGACCCTGCTCACCCAGGCTGCAGCCACCTGCCCTGCTGTGTTCCCCTCACACACCCTGCTGTCGGAAAGCGCCTGCCTTCCCGCAAGTGCTGCCCTCTTCCTGCCACTAGAACACTCTTATCTGACTCCAAAACTCAGCTCTTTTTTATAATCAGCAACGAAAATTATTTGTGTGGTTTTTTGTTGTTGTTGTTTTTGTTTTGTTTTTGTTTTTATTTTATGTTTTTTTCTTTTGAGACAGAGTTTTGCTCTTGTTGCCCAGGCTGGAGTGCAATGGCGTGATCTCGGCTCACTGCAACCTCCGCCTCCTGGGTTCAAGCAATTCTCCTGCCTCAGCCTCCCGAGTAGCTGGGATTACAGGCGTGAGCCACCACACCAGGCTAATTTTGTATTTTTAGTAGAGACGGGGTTTCTCCATGTTGGTCAGGCTGGTCTCGGACTCCCGACCACAGGTGATCCACCTAACTTGGCCTCCCAAAGTGCTGGGATTACAGGCGTGAGCCACCGCACCCGGCCTGCTGGGATTACAGGCGTAGCCACCGCACCCGGCCTGCTGGGATTACAGGTGATTACAGGCGTGAGCCACCGCACCCGGCCTGTACGTGTTTTTAAAAACAACTCTGGCCCCTCTCTCCAGAGCCCCTCCAGGGCATCTCTGTGTGCTGTGCCTGTGGCTCTGCCACCCTACGAGCCTCTATCTCCCGCCCCCGCCACGATCCGGGAGGTGCCCCCCCACTGTATGACCAATACCCCAGTGCAGTGCCAACCAGGGACAGGGGTGGGGGACCCTCAACAGTGGCCTTGGGCAGCCCCACCTCGCCTCCTCCTCCTGCCGACCTTCTGAAGGGGCCTCCCCACAGCGGAACCCCACGGGGGAGGCAATGTTTTTTCATGAGAAAAAGAGATTTCCTGCCAACAATAAGAAATTGCACAAAGAAGAGTATTACAGGAGGACACAAAAGCCAGAAGGATTTGCTATCCTGCCACACTCTCAAAGTCCACACCAATCAAGACCACCAGCTTCTGTGGCTGTCTTGTTTTTGGAATGTTCTAGAAGCCTCAGACACCAGGAGAAGGAAGACCTAACTTGAGGCCCCAGAAGCCTTCTTGTTCCCTCCGGGGTCTGTAAGAATCTCCGGGCCCAGCAGGGCCTCCCCACTCTGGGGCCGTCAGGGTCTGCGGATTCTGGCTCCCAGAAGCCCCCGTGCCCTGAGGCCACCAGGCCAGGGTTCCTGGAGGGGGGTGCCTTCACCACCCCTGATGTTGCAGGAGCCCAGGGGAGGTGCACGTTGGCAGGAAGGGCCATGTCTTCCACCGCAGTGTGTAGAGAGAAGGGACTGTGGCTTTCTGGCTGTCTCCGTAACTGCAAAGTCCCCAGAGCCTTCCTCTGTCCCAGGGTCACACCAGCTTTGAAGCTCCACCCAATACGAGTCTCCCCAGCCACAATGTGGGACTCAGAATGGAACTGGTAAGTCCCAAGAAGATAACAGGGGAAGTTCAGAGGGGCTGGGACCACTGAGTCCAGAGAAGGGCAAGGAAAACCCAGACGGGGTCACTGTGGGGCAAAGGGTCCCGGCGGAACAGGCTCCAAGGGCGTGCATGTGAGCACCCTCCCTGGGCAGCAGGTGAGCCGGACCACGGCCTGGGTGGAGAGAGGCCTCCAATCTGGCCTCCAGGATAACTGTAGTTCTCCAGCTCTGTGAGATGATCAACAAGAACGGACCCCCGCCTGTCTCCTAGGAGGGTTGCCTCGAAGGGGGACACGCTCCTCACAGAGAAGCACAGGACCCTCTGAACTCCCCTGGAAGAATTTAACCCTCTCTGCCGGGGATATCTTTACCATCAGCCCCGACACTCAGGCCCTGGCTCATGCCGCTCACATTTGGGGCTGGAAAATTCCTTCTGGCAGGGGCTGTCCTGTGCACTGCAGAATGCTGAATGGTGCCCCTCCCCTCCTAAGTGTGGCAACCCAGACTGTGTGCAGACCTCACCGGAAGTCCCCGGGTCTAGACCACCCCTGGTTGAGAACCACTGATACTGCGGGTCTGGCTGGGAAAATGTGTAAACCTCCCCAGGTTCCCCTCCACATCCCAGGCTGCACGTTTAAGGACGCAGGTTCACAGGTGAAGGATTTTGTGCAACCCTGACTTCGGTGAATCAGGAGGAGGTGCTGGGGGCGGGGGTGGGCACTGGGGTGGGGGGTGGGGCAGCAGGGTTTATTCTCAGGACAAATGGAGAGCAGACCAAAGGGCCCAGGAAGGAGATGGCTACACCAGAAAACCCTGAGTTCACAGAAGGCCCAGGAAGGAGATGGCTACACCAGAAAACCCTGAGTTCACAGAAGGCCCAGGAAGGAGATGGCTACACCAGAAAACCCTGAGTTCGCAGAAGCAATCTGGCTAACACAGAATATTTGCATAGACCCGTTTGCCTATGACTGACCTAGCTTTGGGTCACTCACATGCAAATCTGTGGGGCCCCATGGGGAAGGGAGAAGCCCTTTGCTGGGAATGCTGGGGGTGGGGGAGTTGAGTGGGAGCCAGAAAAGCATAGCTGTTCCTGGACCCGCCTGTTACGGAGGGAGGAGGGCACCTGCCCCACCTACTGGGTGCCTGTCCCCACACCTGCTACTGCCCTGTGGTTTCCTCACCTGGCCAGCGCGCCTGTGTGTGTGTGTTTATGGAGTGGGGCGGCCAACTAAAATAATAGATGAGTGAGTTACCATAAAGTGGAAAAATGTTGGCATTAATAAAGAATTTTGCACTGTTAGAAATAAGAGATTTAATTTATATATATATATATAGACAGAGAGAGAGAGAGAAAGAGATGATCTCTCTACTTATGATATAAGAGCAGCAAGCAGACAGGAAGCCCAGCTCCAGAGTGGTGTTGGGGGGTCAAGGTGCCCCTCAAGGGCTCTGGGCCCGTCCTTAGCATGGGAGGGTGTGGGTGTGGCCGGTCCTCCACTGGGAGACAGTTTATGCACAGACCTCCTCATTGCCATGGAATAGCTCCAGCTACTTATTTTGATAATAGGTCATTCCAGGCATGGTATAAAATCTCAGAGGGCAGGCCATGATCTCTTCCTTACCTCTGTTTCCAGCAGTAATGGTTTAAATGGTGAGAAAAAAAGTTTTGCCTGTGGAATGTGAGTGCTTTTAATTATCAGGCGCAGAGAGACCTTAAAATGAGACAGTGGTCACACCCTGCTCCCTGCTTTGAGCTGTGTGTTCATGTCTGGAAACTGCTTCCTGTTGCCACAAGTAGCTACGGATTAACCCAGTAATGCCCCACTGGACACCGTAACCCACACCCTATATCTTAACAACATACAGCCAATCACTCATCAATGCTATTTCTGTAAACTAATGAGAATTCCTGATAGAAAACTTGGTATCAGCCGACTCCCTGACCCCCACTTTCCTTTACAAGCCACGTGAACTGCTGCTCATCAGAGTGTAGATCCAGGGCAAATGGAATCTATTGCAATCCTCAAGCTTGGCCCAAATAAACTCTCCACTTAGATTAATTTTGCCTCCGCTTCTTTCTTTTAGGGAGACAATAGTGAGCCCCTAAAAGATGCATCCACCCAGAACCTATAAATGTGACTGAATTTGGAAAAAAGATCTGTGCAGATGTCATTAAGGACCTTCTGGTGAGGTCATCCTGAATTGGAGCGGGCCCGGATCCAATGACAGTGTTCTTAGAAGAGAGGGGGAGAAGATACACACAGGGAGGAGTCATGTGAAGATGGAGGCAGAGGCCACCTGGAGCCACCAGGAGCTGGAATAAGCAACGGGTTCTCCCTGGGAGGCCTCAGAGGAGGCGTGGTGCAGCTGCCACTGTGACTTTGGACTTCTGGCCCCAGCACTGTGAGAGGATAGGTTTTAAGCCAGGCGGTTTGTGGTGCTTGGTTATGGCAGCCCCAGGCACTCACGCACCTCTCCAGAGGTGCTGCTGCCCAGGGAGTGTTCTGCATGCTGCACCTGGCTTCCTGCTTTAAGCAGTAATTTGTGCATTGCTGCACATAAAGCCACCTCCCGCTTTTTAACAGCTGCCTGACACGAATCCCACTGTCTGGGTGTAGCATGATTTATTTCTCCAGACTCTTATCTGGGCATGTTGGAGCAGTTTCCAGCTTTTGACAACTTGCAGGTAAAGCTGTGTCAGTAGACTTGTGCATATGTTATTTAGCACTTGTGTGCACCTATCTGCAGAGCTGCTGGGTGTGTGCACTCTACGTTTCTATACCTATTTCAAAGAAGGCATCACAAGTTGCTCACACCAGTAATCGGTTAGGAGCCTCTCTCCTACTCCTCACTGACAGAGGGTTCTCATGCTTTTGTCTTTGGCTGTCGGATAGATTAAAAACAGTCTTACATTCTGATTTTAACTTGCATTCTTTCTTTTTTCCCATTAGTGTGTGTATCTTTCCATATGTTTAACAGCCTTCACATTTCTGTTTTGTGAACTGTTTTTGTACTTCGCCCATTTTCTATCACTTTGTTGGTCTTCATTGCATTGATTTCTAGAACTTCTTTATGTATGAACCAAATGAAGCTTTTCCTGTGCCTTGCATTGCAGATACTATTTCATTTCTCACCTGTCTTTGTTTATGGTGGTTGTGTTTTTCACCAGGCAAACATTTTTAACTTTATTATTATTTCTTTTAATCCATGTTTATGGCTTCTGAGTTTGTGTTCTATTTCAGAAGATCTTCTCCTTCTAAAACTAGTAAAGGAAATGGCTCTCTGTTTTCTTCTAGTATGTTTATGGTTTCCAACTTTATAAAAATATCTGCTGTAGCTGTAACATATGGAGGCCTTAGGGAATAAAGTAGAAATGCAATTTTATTTTTTTCTAGAAAACTATTTAGTTGTAATTCAGTTGGTGTCTTCTGAACAACTGGAATTCATCACACTGATAGGCAAAAATCACCTCTCCTATGTCCTAACTAGGTGGGTGTGTTTGGATCCATTTTTGGTTCCTCTGCCTAATTTCTTTGCTGTCCGACTAGGGGGTCCATGTCCCAACTACTGCAATTTTATAGGCTCTATGAATGTGAAGACCTATTTTAAGATATTTCCTAATATCAAACCATCTTCAAGTCTCCTAGGTCATGGCTTACAGTTTTTAGACAATTTAATTCACATTTTTGTGTTGGTGTTCATTCATAAGATTGGCTTATGATTTTCTTTCTGTGCTTGTCTCTTTGGGTTTTGGCATCATTCTTATGGTAGCTTCATAAAGAGAATTTAGAAATTTTCTTTCCTTATTTATGCTTTGCATCCATTTAAATATTATCTGTTCCTTAACAGTGTGGTGGAATGGCCTGTGAAACTATCCGGGCCTGGAGCCATTTGTAGCTTTGTTGTTGTATCAGTTACAGTCCTAGGCATCTATAGCTATGATCAGTGGTATAGCAGGTGTGTAGTGTAATAGGAGGGAACAAGACAATCAGGGAGTGTGATGCCTGTAAAGAATCTAAAAATGATAGTAAAACCAACTATTATTACCACATCTTGCCAATTCTAAACAGTCAGCAAGAGAATACACACCCTTTTAAGAGGACCGACCGCTGGCATATCATGGAAACACACCCTCCTTCCTCCCTAGCAAGGTGGCACAACTCCTGACCCTCTGCCAGTGCGCAGCGCCCGGTTTTGTGGCTGGATTTGCATGCAATTACATTATATTCAAATCACACTAATTTATTCCCCCAGAATGAGAAGATAGAGAATGAGTGTTTTTCATCAAAATTAGTTCTGTGACACTATTAAAAAAAATATAACGGAAACTCCCAAAGAAACCCTAAACCTTCAAAAACTTGTGAAGTATGGCAGCTCCTCAAAACAGTTAAACATCGAATTACCACGTGATCCAGCAATTTCTTCTCTGGGTATATACCCAAAAGAATTGAAAGCAGAGATTCAAAGAGATATTTGTACACCCATGTTCACAGCAGGTTTATTCACAGCAGCCGACAGATGGAAGCCACTCAAGGGCCCATGGACAGAGGCGTGAGCAGGCAAAAGATGGTCTATGCATGCCAAATAGGATCTGGCCTCAGAAAGCAAGGACATCGTGACACACGCCACAGCAAGGACCAACCTTGACAACATGATGCCGAGTGACATCCTGACACACGCCACAACATGGACAGACCTTGAGAACATGATGCTGAGTGACATCCTGACACACACCACAGCAAGGACCGACCTTGAGAACATGATGCTGAGTGAAATAAGCCAGGTACACAGGGACTGACACCGGGTGGTTCCACCTGTATGAGGTCCCTGGCGGAGTCTGGTTCGTAGAGACCGGAGGTGGAACGGTGAGTGCTGGGGACCGAGGAGGGGCATGGGGAGGGAGTGTTCAATGGGGATGGGGTTTCAGTTTGGGAGGATGGAACGTTCTGGGGATGCGTGGTGGTGATGACTGACAACAATGTGGATATGCTTCATGCCACTGAACCGTGCACCTAAAAATGGCTGAAATGGCAAATTTTATCTTATGCATATTTTACCACAGGAAAATAAATAAATAAATAAAACAAAAAGTTCTTTAACTTGTTGAAAGTAGACAGAAAAGTGTTAGAAAAAACTAAACAGAAAAAAAAAAGGAGAGAAGAGATAAGTAAAGTAAAACACCAGCTGCCTGGATCTGCGGCCTGGCCAAGCTTCTCACTTGGAGGCAATCCCTGCAGGCCTCCCTGCCCCTCCCATCCACTCGCCCTCCAAGGAGACCCAGCCAGAGGGGGTCTGGAAAAGCCTCTGGCTTTGCTCACCCGGCCTATGTGACCCACAGTAATTCTGGGTAGGTTTTTCCTTCACCAGGGCAGCACCAAGCTCACACCCTCTTTACCGACCTTTTCCACCAACACAATCTCATCAGATGCTTAATCCTGGTCTTATTTCACAGACGCATGAGTTTCATTCCAGGGTCTCTGGGGTTACTTTGCCCATGAGAAGCCCTGAGAAACGGGGTGCTTTCTGTGTGGGGCATAAGTGTCCCCTGTGGCAAGAGGCCTGGCTGTCCTGGGCGGGGGTCCTTCCGGGCTGGGGTGCCATCCTTCCAGCACATCCTCCTCCTCTACACTCCCTGGGAGGGCCCAGGCTGTCCCCGCCCCATAGGCCTGGCTCCCACTAGCAGGGAAGGCCTCATCTTATCCGCAAAGGGTGGGCCTGGATCAGCAGGAAGCCCACCGTCTCCTCCTGCCTGGCACCCTCCAGAATAAGAGACAAATTACTGACAGAGGTTGCAAGCTGCTCAAAAAATTCACTCTAGAAAAGCAGGGGCTCCGTTCCCCAATCAAAGCCCTGGGGCGGATGTCCATGTTTCTAGAACCTGTAAGGTCATTCTGTGGTGTTAGCCCATGGTGAAAGAGAGTCTAGCTGGGAGGTGTAGAAAGTCTGATACGTGTGTTTCCTTTGTAGGATTTCCTTCCGTCTGGAGGAGGGAGGGGTGATCAGCAGGCACTTAGGGATGATCTCAGCGGTGACGGCTTCGTATTCCAGGGGGCTTCCAGGGGGCTGGTGTTCCTCCGCACTCTGGCCTGTCCAACTCTGAGTCCCAAATTTGGGGCTGGCAGACAGGGTCACCATGGTCGGGGGCTCCTCATTTTTGCCATGGCTGGGTGGGCAAGAGATGTCCACAGGGCTGGGGTGGACAGAGCAGCCATCCTGTGGGTCAGGTTAGACCCCAGGTCCCATTGGTCAGGGACACCCCCTCCTTAGCCCCTTATCCCTTCCTCAACTAAGACATGAGCAGCGTGTGCTCCAGGTGGGGAATTCCCATGCCAGCTGTGTGGGCAGGACGCAGCTGCCAGTGTCACTGTGGCCGGCACCCTTCCCTATTCTCACGCCATTTGCATTCTTGAGTACAGCCAGTTCAGTTTCTGGTCCTGCCCCACCCTGGCAGCCACGATACCCTTGGGCCCTGTGGTATCAGGAGAACCAGCTCCGAGGTGGGTGAGGCTCTGTCTGAGACAGCGAGTCCCAGGGATCCCCAGGGAAGTTACAGGCTTAGGAGAACACTGGGGAGCCGCTGGCCCCAGACACTTGGTGGGGCTGCCCCACCCGCAGCCAGGCTCGGAAAACCTCTCTGTGGTCTCCTGTGTGGAGAGGAGGCGGGGAGCTGGTTAGCCCGAGGCCCAAGAGCCGGGCAGATGCATGACTCAAGGTCACCTTGGGTGTGACTCATGGCCCTGCACTCCCGACTGCCATCACACTTCCAATAATAACCGTACACATCACCAGGCCCTCCTGGGCCGGTGCTGCCCTTGCTTCCTGCGCACCTGCTCATGTCGAAATTGGCTGTCATTGCACCAACTGGAAAGATGAGAAGACCCTTTCCATCCTGGCCCGACTGGGAGCACGTGACACCCGTCTTTAATTCCCCAGGAGTGTGTTTCCATGGATGCACTGCTGTGGGTGATGCTGGGCTGGCCTCGCCCTTTGACAACCAGGCCATCATGGGCGAGGGCAGGCACGCTGCATTAGGGGGTCTCAGGATACTGCTGGAACTCCTTGGGACCTGGAGATTTTGCTGGAAGACCAAGCTGTCACCGCTGGAGATTCAGCAGCCAACCTCATCCTTGGGGTGCCTGATGCTGCCTTCAGGGGCTTCTGGGTGGGGCTGGTGGAGGGAGGAGGGGCGCCTTGTCCTGTATGCCTCTGGATGATGGGGGGTAGCTCCGAGAACAGGCTCACTTCTTCCCCATGCCTGTCCCTCCGGCCACCCCTAAAAAATGCTCTAGGAGACACAGTACGCTTACCCAGGACCGGATCCCAGACCCGCTGGGGGCTGCTTGGGGCTCCCTGGCTTGTGGGGTGCTCTTGGGAGGGCTCCCCTACACGGAGGGCAGCACTCGCTCCATCCACGCTCATGCACACACTGTCAGCCAGTGGAGGAATGAAGGGTGCATGCGTGGCCCCCGGGCTGTGCCTGCCTGGGGGTCCCTTTATGCCTCCACCCCCTGGAGGAGGGAAAGGAAAGGAATTCTCCTCTTCCTTTTCTACTTTGAGAAAAGTCTTAATTCTCTTCCACTGAGCCTCAGGCCCCCGAGGCCCACGAAGTCCCAATGGGCATTCGCACAGTGGGCTCTGGCCAGGTTTGTACTGCTGTACTTTGACAGTTTCCCTGCCCCACCCCCCTCCAGCTGCCCTACGGACTGGACAGGGACCCGGGCACTGCAGGTCCCCACTCCTGGCCTTGCAGTGGTGACTGGGCAGGATCTCTCGGTGTCCGCGTGAGTGGGGACTTCCTTCTCCCCTTGCTGTGGGTGGGCTCACCCATCCCCTCTTCACTTGCTCACAAGGTGGTTCATCTGCACCACTGCAGGGCCCAGGGTGGCTGCATCGCGGCATCTCCTTGGCTCCCCAGCACCGTGGCTGCAAATGTCCTTTGCCCGCAGGAAGATGCAGAGGGGGCAGCCCTGGCGACCTCCCAGACAGCCTGCATTTACGTTCCCAGGGCCTGCCGGTGAGAAACAGCTCCCACAAACCCCCATGGTCACTGGTCGGGGCGGTGCGTCCACATCCTCATGGCCCACCCTTGCACTTCGGCCAAGTCCTGCTCCTAAAGGGAGGGGCTGCCTTGCCATCTGTTACAGGTCCCCTGTGTCCCCCCCAAAAAATATGTGGGTGCCGTGACCCTGGCACCAGCGAACGTGACCTTACTTGAAAATCGGGTCTTTGCAGATGGAAATAGTTAAATTAAGACGAGCTTCCACTAGAATAGGATAAACCCTGACCCGATGTGACTGGTGTCCCCATGAGAAGAGAGACACAGACACACAAGGGAGAGCCACGCGCAGCCGAAGGCCGAGATCAGAGGGGCGCTGTGGCTGCAAGCCCGGGGCCGAGCAGGGCAGGAGGCGAGCTGGGCTCCCTGCCCCAGGCCACGTGATGCTGCAGAGAATGCCACGAAGTCCACTGCGGTGGGAGCTCCAGGTTCCACCTGGCTGCTCTTAGTTTTCAATAGTAAATAATGAAAACCGAGTGCCTCCCAGGGAGCCCGTGCCATGCACCTCCTGGCCCTTATCCAGGTGTCTCTTGGATGCTGCGGGGCCCAAGACCATCGTGTGCTCCTGAGGTCAGGACATGTGGGCACTGGACCCACACGTGGGATTCCACCCTCCACATGCGCTATACCCGGGGAAAGCAGTGGCTCTGTCAGCAGCTGGGTAGCGGGAGCCCCACAATGGCAGGGGCGACCCAGGCGTGTCCGGTGCCACCTGCAGGCTCTCACCACATGGCCCAGCGACCTGGGTGGACCTCCCCGTCACTGCTCCTCAGGAACCCCCATTTCACTCAGCAGCCCATGGGGGAAGCAGGCGGCCACCCTGGGCTTCCAGGGTCAGGGAAGCTCAGTGACAAGGTCCTGACCCCCACCGAACACACAAGCCCTCTGTCTGCCCCTTGGCACATAAGGCCCTCAAAACATGTGTCCTTGATGTTTGCACTAATCACCAACTCCCGGACAAAAACAAATAGAATTGGCGAAGGCACTGGGTTAATTCTGCCCCCAAACAAGCTAAGCAACAGACACACTCAAGCCGGGCAGGCGTCCTGAGGACCCACAGCCACCCCGGACACAGAGGCTCTGCCTGTCTGGACCACGGGGGCTCTGCTGACCCCTCCCGGGGGCAACGGTGTGGCCGGTGATGCCCGGGGCTCTGTGGTCAGAACCATCACGTATTTTCTAAACAGACCCCACAGACCCTCTCAACAGCAGCAAAACGTGCTGATATTTATCTTCCTAAAATACTTGTTCAAAAATATGCATGGGAAAAGTTCTAAACACAGAAATATGCTGCCAGTGCCCTTCAGAAATGGAGTGCCTTCTTCAAAACACCAGGAAGTTCCAGAGGAGACACTGGGGAAACTTTTGCGTGTCCTGTGTGAGTTCACACGTCCTGTGTGAGTTCACCGGGGTGGCCACCACAAAGGACCCCAGCCGGAGGCTCCAGCAGCAGACGCGGATCTTCTCTTGTTCTGGAGGCCGAAATCCAAGGTCAAGGCGTGGCAGGGCCAGTTCCTCTGAGCTCCTCCCCTTGGCTTTCAGGTGACCGTCTTCTCCCCGCGTCCTCATGGGCGCCCCTCTGTGCCTGTCTCTGTCCACCTGTCCTCTCTTTATAAGGACACCAGCCATGCTGAGTTAGGGCCCAACCTCACGCCTCCTTTTAACTCATCTCTTTAAAGACCTTATCCAAATAAGGTCACGTTCTGAGGGTTAGGGCTTCGACATATCATTTATGCGGGACATAGTTCAGCCTGTATCCCCCTACGAGTTCCCCTGCACCCCAGATTTGCACGTTCACCTGCGGAGTCTTCTCAGTGCTTTTTCAGGTAGAAACCATGGAGGTAGGAGGTGGGACTTGACTCCGGACCAGATTGAGGACTGTTGAAACAGGAAGGAGTCAGGAGCACCTCTCCATAAGACACGCCCGCCAGGGCCATGGCCACACCCAGAAGTTACCACCCCTTTCCATGGCAATGACCAAGAAGTTGCCTCCTTTTTTCTAGACATTTCTGAATAACTCACCCCTTAATTTTCATATGGTTAAAAACGGGTATAAATATGACTGCAGGCCTGTCCCTGAGCAGCTGCTCCCCATGCTGCGGGGCTGGGGGAGGGGCTCTGCCCTGCAGGCACAGTCACGGAGCTGTGACACGGCCACCTCAGTGAAGCTGTTTCCTTCCACCTCCCGCTCGCTCTGGAATTCCTCCCTAGTGAACCCAAGAACCTTCCTGGGCTAAGCCCCAGCTTTGGGGCTCACTGTCCTGCATCAGTTCCAGAGGAAGAAACTGAGGCCATGAGAGCTTTTCCAACACAAGGCAGAGCAGCCACGGGTCCCCTGCTGAATAATCGCTGCCCGTGATAGGAGCCTCACCTTATCATTGACACCCATCTGCAATGCTGTTCCAAACACCCTGCCTGCCAGTGCCGAGTGGCTGAGAAAGGACACCGTGGCGCCAAGCATACGCCGGGCCTGTCCCGCCACATCAGACTCCAGCATGCAGCAGTCACTGCGGAACATCAGACACGTGTCTCCAGGCTCGTGTCCTTGGGCAGCTCCGGGGTCAAGAGGGGGCTGACGGAAACCTCGAGGCGAGCTTCAGAATTCTCCAGGCAAAATTCTCTCCTGTTTGGGGAGAGGATGGGGTCCACAACGGGGTCAATGGCAAAATTAGTATGACACTAAGCTCCTCAGAGTTTGGTCAGCTCCCACACTGACTGACCCAGGAAGTCCCAGAGCAGCTCAGGGATAGCCACGGCCACGTGAGTTACCGTCAGCAGCCCCTAAATGGCGTCCACACAATAGTGTTGCAGGAAATGAGGAGAACGGGGATCAAGTACACATGATGTATGTTTTAGGGTTGATACAGGCAGAGATGGGGACACACAAAACACCCACCCGGCACTCCTGCAGGGCCGGCCCGAAGCCGCGCTGTCCTGAGCTCTCCAGGCCGGGCCGGGCTCTGCCTGCACAGAGAAGCCTGGGGGTGGAGGCTGCTGAGTCAACGAGGGCTCTGGCGGATTAGGAAGTTTGGGTCAAATCCCCAGGTCCACCCCTCAAACAACCCACCTCATCAAGGGCTCTGCATCCAAAACAGAGCCAGGTGAGGGATCCCCCAAAACAGAGCCAGGTGAGGGATCCCCCAAAACAGAGCAAGGTAAGGTAACCTAGGGAGAGGCCCTCTCTGCCGACACAAACCCATCTCCCTTGAGTGGACGCAGAAGCCAGGCTGAGTCTAGAACTGGTCGGTCAGTGCTGGCACAGCACTTCTTCCTGGGGCACCCCCAGGACGGGGCTGCGCAGAATCAAATCCCACTGCGTTTTCCTGGCTGGCCCAGCGAGCTCCCTTTCCAAATAGGTGGAGGGAAAGCCAGGATGTGTCTCCTGAGTTAGCTGGAGGGACGCTGAGGTACAGAGCAGCGCAAAGGCAGAGCGCGGCATCTTCCCACTGGCAAGGTGTACGGTCCTCCTTTCTGACTCATTGGCCAGCATGGAGGGCCCACTCAGAGGCAGCCCCTCTCCTTGGCCTTGCCCCTCAGCCTCAGGGGCAGGTGGGGTGTGCTGTAGCCTCAGGGAGGCTTCCGGAGCCCTGGGCCTTGCGCTTTGCTATGTGACTTGCTCGGGCCTGTGGGTGTCGGTGGACTTGGTACAAGCAGTGCTGGGGTGTGTGGGTGCAGCCAGGTCGGCCCCTGGTGCTCTGTGTCACTGTGGCCGTGTGTCCTCGCCAGCCCATGGGCCAACGGAGATGAGGACGAGGATCGGAGCTGCAGCCCACCTGCAGCCCGGAGCTGAGCTGGGAGCTGAGCAGGGCACGTGCAGCAGCTGTAGCTGGTGAGCAGGAACCATAGGCGGTTATTTCAGTGTTTCCATCAGGAGTGTGTGTTACACAGCACTAGCGTGACAACAGCTGACTGAAGGGGCCTGTGTCTGCATCACCAGGTGTACCCCGCCTGCACCCCCACCACCCTCATGGACCCCCGTCCACCAGGTGGGCTGAAAGGTCCTGACAGGCCCAGCCACCATCTCCCTGTGATTCCCGCATGGACCAACTCAGGCAGGGAGCCACTTTCAGCCTCAGAAGAAGGCTCCCAGGAAGCTCCACACATTCCGTGCTTTCCCCTTGCTTGGTTTTTATTTCCCTGGTGAGGAGGCCCCCGTTCGCTTCTAAGGAACGAGTCCTCCCAGGAGAAGGATGAAGGCGGGCTCGCCATGGTCCATGCTGATTCACCTGCACTGCCTGAGACCTCCGTCTCAGCAGCTGTCACTCACTGTGCAGGTTTGAGAACAAGTCCAGCAGCCCCGAATCTGGTGGCTGAGGGGTGGCGGGACAGGCTCTCCTGTGGAGCAGCCCCTCTTGCTCCAGGACCCTCGATTCACCCCGGGCCCCAGGTTCCAAGGCGGGGTCGTGTGCTGTGCTGTGGGGCAGGGGAACGGCCCCTTGCTCCTCCCCCAGCTCCTGTTCAGCCCCTGGGGTTGTCAGGCTGAAAAAGCAGCCCTGTTCAGCTTGCCTGCATTGACGCAGCTGTCTACTGGCTTGTTTCAGACAACAGGTCCACGCAGGCCTTGCTCCTGAGCTCGGGCCCCAGGCACACGCCCACACACGGCCAGGCGTGTGCACACTCGGGCAGTCACGTAGGATGAGCATGCCTCGGAGCCCTCGTGCGAAGGCAGCCAGGCCTGGGAGAGCCAGGCAGCTTCCCAAGGGGGCTCCGGAATGCGTCGTCTGCAGGGCAGGGACGGGGACCCGGCAACCCGGCTTCCGGTGGGACTCATGCGGCTGACGCCTCCGCTCTTGGGAACAGACGGGCCTCTGAACTGGAACGTGGAATACAAGGGCATTTTTTATCCTGAAACAACAGCTCTGTGGGCGAACTCGAGACGCCCTGGAAAAGTGTGGAAGCTCAGGCTGCCGGGCCAGCAGGGGCCTGTCCTGAGCGCCGGGCTCCAAGGCCCTCCCTGTTTGCCCTCAGGAAAGGGTCACGCTCCAGCCACCTCAGTCCCGCTGAAGAGTCAGCTCTCCCGGCCCATGCCGCTCCTCACCGGCCAGGAGTCCACAGTCTCTGAGGCCCCCAGCTTCCGCACCTGCAGCTGGGCATGGCAGCTCACACCTGTAATCCCAACTACTACTACTGAGGCAGGAGGATTGCATGAGGCCAGGAGTTTGAGACCAGCCTGGCCAACATGGTGAAATCCCATCTCTACTAAAAACACAAAAAAATAGCCGAGCGTGGTGGCGCCCACCTGTAATCCCAGCTGCTCGGGAGGTTGAGGCAGGAGAATCACTTGAACCTGGGAGGCGGAGGTTGCAGTGAACCAAGATTGTGCCACTGCACTCCTGGACAACAGAGTGAGACTCCATCTCAAAAATAAATAAATAAATAAATAATAACAGCGTGAGAGCTAGCGTAGGAGGAAGCGGGGAGATGGAGGGGGGCTGGGGGTGTCGGAGCAGCCAGTGTCGTTTCCAGTGGCTGGAGTCCCAGAGCCATTTCAGGCCTTAGGGTGACATCTTAGTCATGATCTAGGTTGGGAGCACAGCAAAGTACCAGAAGCCCGCCCCCAATGTCACTAAATGGCACACCAGGCTGGGCATCCCTGCCTCCAAATTTTTTTATGTGAGAGAACAATAAGCATCTCTCGGGGTTTACGGATATTTTCCTGGGCCGTCCGCTCCCTGGCGGTTTGGACTGAACGTCCCGGACCAGCCCCACGGCCCCACCCGCCATACACACTTGTCTAAACAGATGGGCCTGGCGCTCGCTTCCGTGGAAAACCATCATCACCTGACCTTGGGCCAAAAGTAAATACATCTCAAGAGTTTAAATAACAGCTCCCCCCAGCGAGGTGGAATTGTTGGAGAGAACTTTTGAAATCATAACAAACAGACCCTCGGTGGTGCGACCTCAGGCCCCGAGAGTCAAGTGTGAGGAAAGAGGTCATGCCGGTGTGCACGGGCACTGCAGGCCCAGGGGCAACTTCTTCCCTGAGCCTCCATCTGCAGGTGACAAGTGCAGCTCCTGAGGTGGCCGGGCCAGCGAGCTTCCTTGGGGGCTGACCGTAGGGAGGACTCAGCTAATTGGAGCTGCTCAGCCGTCCAGTGCCCCCAGCTGCCATCACAGTGGCGTAGTCGAGCTCCTGGGGAAAGGCTGGGGCCCTGAGCGGGAGGAACAGCATCCAGCCCTGGGCAGCCCAAGCTCCGTGTCATCTCGGGGGAACCTAAAGCTCAGGACACAGAGGGATTCTGCCTCCCAAGCCCAGCTGTGGGACGTGAGACCTTCCCGCTCTCTCCCTGCCGGGCTCTGAGGACACTGGACAAGCAGCAGGCCTCAGCTGAAGCTGGTGATAAGACAGGCTCCGCGTCCACACTGCCTGGCTGCCCTCCAGCTGGGAGCACCGCATCTGCCCCTGTGCCTGGTTCTGAGGCTGGAGAGAAGAGCAGAGGGGCTCGGGGAAGAGAAAGGCAAAGAGCCCCTGAGTTTGCTTCCCTGGGGCTGCTGGCCTCGTCCCTAGGGGCTGGAGCGGGTTTGGAAGGCCCCTTGCCTGGGGGTGTGGGAGTGCACAGTACTGCCGCGTGAGAGTGTGTGTGCACAACTGTCAGTGAAGTGTGTGTGATCGGCCCATGGGGGTGTGTCAGCGTGACTGCGTGCCACGCTGTGAGAACGCACAAGTGTGTCTGTAAATGCACGCGTGCGTGTATGAGGCGGTGTCGGAGGGTGCACGCGTGCATGTATGAGGCGGTGTGCGAGGGTGCACACATGTGCTTATGAGGCGGTGTGTGAGAGTGTGCATGTGCATGTATGGGGCGGTGTGCGAGGGTGCACTTGTGTGTATGAGGCGGTGTGGGAGAGTGCACTTGTGTGTATGAGACACTGCGAGGCTGCACGCATGCATGTATGAGGCAGTGTGGGAGGGTGTGCGTGTGCATGAGGCGGTGTGGGAGGGTGCGTGCGTGCGTGTATAGGGCGGTGTGTGAGGGTGCACGTATGCATGAGGCGGTGTGGGAGGGTGCACGTGTGCATGAGGCGGTGTGCGAGGGTGCGCGTGTGCGTGTATGGGATGATGTGCAAGGGTGCACACGTGTGTGTATGGGGCGGTGTGCGAGGGTGTGCGCCTGCGTGTACGGGGGCGGTGTGCGAGGGTGTGCACCTGCGTGTATGGCACGGTGTGCGAGGGTGCACATGTGGGTGTAGGAGGCGGTGTGCGAGGGTATGTGTGCATGGGTGTGGGTGAATGATGTGTGTGGGTATGTGATCATGTGTGTCGGTGTGAATGTGTGTATCACTGTGTGTGTGTGTGTCCATGCGTGCTTCTACCCAGAGACAGAGCCTCCTGAAGCCCGGCCTGGCCCCCTGGGCCGTGGCCTCAGACCTCTCTGGGCACAGCCCCTCGTATCCACAGCTCATCTACCAGTGTTGGTGATTGACCAAAAACTGCCACTCTGTCTCTGGCAGTGGGCAATCCTTGTGCTTTTTCCAAAGAGAAGTGCCTGTTTCCTTAAGATTCCCCACTGCCAAAATCTCCAGCTCTGGCCTCTGATGTCTCAGCACAGCCAATGCCAGACAGGAATCTTTCCCCGACAGGGTCAGGCCCCCAGTGTGGGGCAGCCACAGCACCCAGGGAGGAGCCTGGCCGTACTCGGCCCCTCCCGTGCCTCCTCCACACCTGACCACCGGCAGCGGGCAATGCCAGGGTCGGCGTGCAAGGGCATTGGTGTGGAGGTGGCACCAGGCTCCTGCATCCTGGCCCTGGAGCCTGCAGTCCCCTCAGCCAGGATACAGCCCCATGGTCCTCAGGAGTGGTCAGTCGCCTGGGAAAAGGGAGGCAGGGCCGAATGCAGAGCCTGCCCATGCCCTGCTCAGGCCCCGAGCCCAGTCCAGGGTGCCAGCCCCCTCCCAGGCCTTCATGAGGCATCTGGGCCCTCTGCTTCCACAAGTCATGATCTGAGGTCTGGTGTTTACAGCAGAGGAGGTCTGGGAGCCCAAACCCCCAGGCGGTAGAAGGAGGGCCGGCGTCGAACTGCACAAGGCTGCCCAGGGCCCCGGCAGAGTAAAGCCACAGCGGCTGCCTTGCCAATGCCCATGGCTGTCGAGGGATGGCCAGGGTGGAGAGGGATGCCTGCCTTGCACGATATCTGCATGTGGGCAATGGGGACGGCCCCTCCCTGGCATGCCTGGAGGAGACAGTGATGCAGGTGCCAGGCGTGGGGAGGGGAAAGGGCTTTTGACATGAGTCCGGCTGGTTCCACACATCAGCCTGTTCCCCCAACCCCTCCCAACCTCGTAACATGCAGGTCAATGACACACGTGGTTGGCTCAGGAAGCGCAGCCACTGGTGTGACCCCTGGAGACCAGGGTGGGTGCCCCCACTAGCTGGGGCTGACGACATGACTGACGGTGATCTCTGACCACAGGGCAGGGTTTGGGGAGAGGCCGCTGGAGCTCCTGGGGGCAACAGGGAGGCTGAGAGGGACCAGGGGCCCTTCCGGCCACCTTTGATAATTTCTTCTAATGAGGTGACTCATGGAGGGCCCCTAGGTAGTTTATGCCGATGAGGTGATTCTGGGTGGGGGCTGGCCTCCCGAGGAGGACCCAGAACGTGATTAGAGGGTTGGGACTTTGCACCAGTTGACATCAGCCTGGTCTCTGGTGTGCGTAGGGGTCCGGAGCCTGAGTTTAGCTATGGGGACGCCTATGCAATAAAACCCCGATAAAAAACTGGACACCAAAACCTTAGTGAAATCCCCAAATGACAACACTCAAAGAATATTGTCCCATATCCATGTGTCGGGAGGGTAGCGTGCCCTGGGGACAGCAGAAGCTGGTTGCTCAGCTCCCCAGACCTCATCCTCTGCACCGCTGCCTTTGGCTACCCTGACTTGTATCCTTCTACTACAATGAGTGTCTGCTGTCCTCACAGGCACAGGGCTCTCCTAAGCTCTGTAAGTTGTTCCAGTGAATTATCGAACAGGAGGGAGTCCATGGGGACTCCACATCTGCAGCCCACTGGTAAGAAGTGAAGGTGACCCTGGGAACCCCCAAATTTGCAACTGGCATCTGAAATGAGGAAAGTCTTTGGAGAACTGTGTCCCTGAACTTGAGTTTGGCTGATTCCAGGTAATATCCAACAAAAGACTTGCATCCAGATGGACAAATTCCCACAGACCAATAAGAAGAAAACTGACCACCCAATTTTAAATAAACGAGTGAAAGGCTTGCAAAAACACCTCCCCAAAAAGTTTATGCAAAGGCCAAGAAACAGGTGAGAAGCACTTGACAACATCAGTCATTGGGGACATGCCAACTCAAGCCACCGTGAGATCACACTACCCACCAACAGCTGCAGAGGAAAGGCCCCCTTACACTATCGGTGAGTGTGAAAATGGTCCCACCACTTCAAAACATCCCTTGCTAGTGTCTGCTGGGCATCCAGTGACCCAGCAGCTCCACGCCTGGGTGTGCACCCAACAGCAGTGTGTGGTTACACACCAAAAAAGTCATACGAGAATGCTTGTGGCATCATTCCTCATAATAATCAAACACTGGAAATGGCCAGTGGCCTGTCAAGATTGAGTGCGCAATCCGTGATCTGTTCACACCGTACAACAGTCCACAGCAGTGAACAAGAACAAGATGCTGCTGCACTCGACAATAGGCACACTATGACATGCAAGAAACCACTCAAGAAAGAGTACACAACACACCACGTGACTCCATTTGTCTATTCTGCCTATATTCAAGATTAGGCAGAACTAGTCTATGCCAACAGACATCAGGGTAGTAACTACCTTGAGGGGCTGGTATGGACTGGAGGGGGCCCCCAAGGGCCCACTGGGTCCCTGGAAATAGTTTACATCTTGATCTGGGCACCTGTTATACAGAAATGGCAGGCTGTGTTTTCCAAAGATGACTGCATAGATGTCTCCCATCCCACAAGCTCTTTCCAATGTGACCTTGAGAAGCCTCCTATTGAGAGTCAAGGTCTATATCCCTTCCCCTTGAACCTGAAGAGACCTTTGTGATCTCCTCGACCAAGAGTATCATGGAAGTAACTCTGTGTGACTTCCAAGTCTGGATCACAAATATGTCATGTGCCTCCTCCTAGCTCTCTTGGGACACTCCATCAAGGAATCCAGCCGCCATGTTGTGAGGAAGCCCAATCCAATCCATGAGGAAGCAACACAAGGAGAGGCCATGTGTAGGAGTTCCAGCCACAGCTCCCCAGAGATCCCAGCCAGCAGCAGCCAACAGACATGTGAGAAAAGATGCTCCAACTTCATGCACCCCCAGGCTTCAGGTCACGCCCAGCCTTCAACTCTTCGCAGAAATCACTGTGCAGAGGCGAGCTGTCCTTGCCTGCCTGGCTGGCCTCCAGGTCCACAGAGTCCTGAGCACAACAGAAAGGCTACGTCATGCTGCTCGGTTTTGGAGAGGTTGTTTATGCAGCACGTGTAATCGGTGTAAGTGAGCACATTTGTAAAGAAAGTAATTGAAATGTACCCTTGAGGCTTGTGCACTGTACTACGAGTAAGTTACGACCCAATTTTCAAAAGGAACAGCTGAACACATTTGAAGAAGAAAAAGAAGGAGGTGGAGTTGCCCCATCAGTTGAAAAGGCTAATCATACAGCTATAATACAGTGTGATGTGTGGTATTGGCCCAGGATAAACAAATTGATTAATGAAGCAGAATACAGAGCCCAGAAATACACCCACCCACAGATGGGCTTGTACATAGGGAAGTGGTGTGTGGGTCCCTGGGGAAAGTCGTTTGATAAATAGGACTGAAAAACCACATTAAAAAAAAATTAGATTCTGTGTCCACACCGTATACGGAAAGTATCTCCAAACAGATTAAGAATCGAAATGTCAAAAGCAAAGATTTAAAACTTATAGGAGAAAATATAGGTGGGTATCTATGTGACCTCACAGTAGGAAGGGATTTCTTATACAAGACACACGAAATATCAACAATATGAAAGGAAAGATTGTTACAGTTGACTTCATTCAAATTAGGACTTTTATTCATCAAACTACGCCTTAAAGAAGATACAGAGACAAGCTACAACCCAGAAGACAAGATTCACCACACAAAAAAATTAAGAAAAGACCACTGTGGAGAATGTACAAATATCTCCTACAAGTCAATAAGAAAAAGCAAATGACCCAATAGAAAAATGGACAAAGGTCATGAACGGGCATTTCCCAGAAGAGGAAAAACACATGGCCAGTGAGTGATAAGAGGGGCCCATTCTCACTGTTAATTGAGGGACACAACTCAGGACAACATACGATTTTGCGTGAATTTGATTGACAACAATTTAAAGTTTTTTGATAATTCTAAATGTTCCAAGGATGGGGATCAACAGCACCCTTGCACACAGCTGGCAAAGTGTAAGTCGATGAAGTCGATGCAAGCATTTTGCAGAAACTGCCAGGCATCACCTTGTCAAGTCAGGATTTTGCATTTCCAAGATCCAGCTTTTATTCTTAGCTCTCCACCCAGGAGAGACCCTGCAGGCGTGCCAGGAGCTCAGTTGGCAGGAGGAAGCCCCGGAGCAGCCCACACGTCGACAGTGAGAGGAGAGAAGGACGGATCACTCATGATAGGATCACACAGTGGAAAATTCTACAACCACGACACTGAATGAACTACAGCGCAGACAGAATACGAACAAATCTTACCAGCATCACACTGAGCAGGAAAAGCCAATCTCAGAAAGCTGCTGAAGAGCGACATCCTTTTTATGATTTTCATAAATAAGCCAAACTATTTAAGTATACACACACACACACACACACACACACAAACACCCCTGTACCATAAGACTGAAAATCAAACTCCAGCACCAGGGATGGAGTTGTGGTTACCTCTGATGGAGGAGGAGGGGCTGGGATGGGAAAGGTCAGACCCAAACAGAAGTGACTACATTTCAGCTTTTGGGTTGGTCATTGGTGCCCAGTGTTCATGATATAATCACAATAATAATATAGGCCAGGTGCGGTTGCTCACACCTGTAATCTCAGCACTTTGGGAGGCCAAGGCAGGCTGATCACGAAGTCAGGAGTTCAAGACCAGCCTGGCCAACATGGTGAAACCCCGTCTCTACTGAAAATACAAAAATATTAGCCAGGCATGGTGCCACACACCTGTAATCCCAGCTACTTGGGAGGCTGAGGCAGGAGAATCACTTGAACCCAGGAGGCAGAGTCTGTAGTGAGCTGAGATCACCCATTGCATTCCTAGGCAATGGGCAAGACTCCGTCTTGGAAAAAAGGATAAATAAAATAAAATAAAATAATAAAACGACAGCTGAGCATGGACCAGTGTGAGAGTGTGCTGTGACCATGGATGATAACTCCAGTTCGTGCCCCTGGATCTGGAATCTGTGTAAACCATGGTAAAAAGAGAGAGGAAGAAATGAGCAGGTGCAGCGCGGGGGTTCCAGGGCCGTGAAGTCTGTGCGACACTACAATGGTGGGTGCGTGTCGTACATTTGTCGAAATCCACAGAATGTCCAACACCAAGAATGAACCCCAGTGTAAACTACGGACTCGGGGTGGTAAGGGCGTGTGCGTCACCACAGCACAGCCCACCGTGGCCGCAGAGGTTAATGGGGGAGGCCGAGCATGGAGGGTCGGGGTGTATGAGAACCCTCTGTGCCTTCCACTCAGTGTCACTGCGAACCTATGATTGCGATAAAAAACAAAGTCTATTAAGAAATAGGACAGGGAGGGAATGGAGGAGGGGGGACAGGGAGGGAATGGAGGAGGGAGGAAAGGAAGGAAATGGGGGACAGGGAACAGGGAGAGAATGGAGGAGGGAGGACAGGGAGGGAATGGAGGAGGGGGGACAGGGAGGGAATGGAGGAGGGAGGACAGGGAGGGAATGGAGGAGGGAGAACAGGGAGGGAATGGAGGAGGGAGGAAAGGAAGGAAATGGAGGAGGGAGAAGCTGCAGTAAACACGTGTTATCCCACATCCTCTACCTCTTTGTATTAGGGGAGCGGCCAGCTCCACTGTGACTTGCACCTCTGCTCTAAGTCACAGGCCCTGTCTTCCACCCAAGGACCTGCTACGTTGGGAAGTCCACCCACTCCAAGAACGGAACCTGGGAGACGTCCCCTGGCTTTTCCTTGGCAAGAGGTGTGGGGATGTGGGTGTGTGAGGGGGTGTAGGTGTGTGCAGGACAAGTCAGTTCTGAGTGCATCCTGGTGGGCTCTGCAGGGATGCTGTGGCCATCCCATGCCTCAGCTGAGCAGGACAGCTGCCCTTGCTCCTGCCTTCACATCGCAGGGGAGAAGCTCCAAAAACAGCCCACTCTGCTCCCACCAGACCCACGTCTTGGAGCAACCACTGGAGCTTCGCTTTCATTCCCGGAGCGCTGTCCTCGGCCTTGCTGTCTCGGCCTTGCTGTCTCGGCCTTGCTGTCTCGGCTTTGCTGTCCTCGGCCTTGCTATCAGCACTTTCCTAGAGGCCGGAGGGGTGGCACGAGGGAGTGAAGACCCTTGCTCAGCTCCCGTCCCCTTTGGCAGGGACGCCACCGTTGCTGGGACATGAGGCCTTGTTGGAATCTGCAGAGCAGGTCTGGCCATAGCTAAAAGGCTCTACCCCAGCCAGAGGCGGCAGGTGATGGGGACACCATGGGCTGGGCAGCCTAGTGTGCCTGGAGCTTTGACGAGTCTCCCGCCTGGCGGGCCCTTGTGGGTGGGTGGGTGTGGACACTCTGTGAGTGGAGGGTCCCATCAGTGGCCCTGGCCCTCCCTAAGAGGACTCTGTGGTGACAGCCCTCCCATTGCCTGGCAGGGACTTTGGCCTCTGGGGGGAAGGTAATGTGCTCAAAGTCTGAGGAACCTTCGGGCAGACCCCCTTCCCGGAGGGAGGTCAACCTAAAACTTGTGCAACTTGACATATGGAGGTGTGGTTTTTTTTTTTCCAAAAAATGTCTCCCAGGGGCTCATTTACCAACACCTCACATCCAAATGCTAGAAGTGGCCATCTGCCAGCCACCGCTGCCTGGGCCCGGCCTTCCTGGGGGCCGCTGTTCCCCAAAAGGGTTCTGTGCACCATTCACCCAGCTCCAGCCTGCCCAACCTCTCCTGTGCCCCCGGAGGGTCACTGGAAGAAATCCTCTGACCTGGGACTAGAGCTTGGGCTGCAGGGAGGAGGGCAGGCATGAAGTGCCCGGCCCCTGCACCTCTGATCAAGGCCCTTCCTGACAGCCTGGGAACCTGTCTGGTGGCTCCTGGCGATGCCCAGTTCACGGCAGGTGCCTGGCTGAGAGTGCCGGGGGCCCAAGCTCTCACTCCTAATAAGTGTGCCTTGGGGGCTCATAAACAAGTCCAAACGAGAACCCGAGGACCCTGGCTGAGGACCCTGGCCTGAGGGGACTCACGGGCATGTTCACCATGGCCTCCAGGGTCCCACACACTCACTTTCCTTCTGCCCTCTTCTCTGAGTGAGGCCAACCCCAGGAGGGTGGGAACGGGTCTCTCTCGGTAAAAAGAATCAGAGTTGATGCCGGGGATTAGGAAGAGAGACCATGTCCCTCCTGTGGGGGGATCTGCCCCTCCTCCAGGACGTGGTGTGGGGGTCACAGCAGCCCTTGGAGGTGCTTTCCAGGGGGACACTGCCTGGGGCCTTGTGTCCACTGTGACACTCCGGCCGACCCTATGAGGATGTCCCAGTTCCTTCTGTACGGCGAGGGGCCCTGGCACAGTGAGGCTGAGCCAGGCCCTGGTCCACCACTGCCCCTGCCGGTGACCGCTGTGGATTGGGGTCATGGCCGCCGGGAGGAAGGCGGTGGGGACAGTGTCAGCACCCGGGCACGGGCCGTGGGCACCGTGGCCCCAGCAGCACCTTGGCTCCTGCCAGCGGCCGGCTGTGAGTCGCAATGTATTTTGTGCCTTCCCTGAGTTTGTTTTCTCTGGAAAGCGGGAGTAACAGCAGCATTCACCTCGGGTGGGCGTCGTGGGAGTTTGAGGGGATCACACTCAGGGGAGTGCGTTGTGTACGCGGACTGCTGCCTGGACAGGGACAGCCGTGGCCATCTGGGTTCTTGTGGTACCCTCTGGAAGAGGGGCCGAGGTGGCTGGGGCGCCAGCCCTTCCTGCTCCCATCTGAGAGCCCCGGGTGTGATGAGGACTGTCAGGGCGGCCACCATCCAGCTCTGAGAGGGGGGCACAGGGGAGGGCCCAGGAGGAGGATTAAGCCAGAAAGACCAATCTCATGGGGAAATGACGGAGTGGAAGCTGGACAGCTCCCTCACACCTGTGCGCACAGTTGGCCTGCAAACAGCCTTTCTCCGCTTCCTCTTTTGCCTTTCGAGATCAAAAGAACAGCTGGCCTGGGCTTGCTGCTGGGATGCGGGTGGGGCTCTGGGGGGCAATTAGCAAGGCTTTGAAAAGGGTCTTGAATGGACAGGGATGCCCATAATCGGGAAGCAACTTCAGTGGAAAATAAAACCTCCCGGGTAGCTTGCCAAGCAGAAGCAGGAGATGAAGGTCGTTTTGTGTGCACGCCATGGCTCCCAGCCTGGGGGTCCAAGGCCAGTGTGCCAGAAACTGCCTGGAAACTGCAAACACAATGGGACCCACCAGGGAGGACACCCCCTCTCCAGGGCCAAGGGCCAGCAGGGAAGTCCCAACTGCAGTAAGGTTTCCAGTGGGGCCTGCTCCAGAGGAAAAGGGAGACCCTCCCTGATCTGAAGGTTCAAGTTCATTGCCAGGAAGCCGCCCCCCTCAACCCGCCTGAGCTTGTGGGGACCCTCCCAAGGCAGCCATGGGGGCCTCTCACACCGGCCCCAAAACAGCGTCAGGAAGGAGCTACTGAAATCAGGCGGGTCTCCAGGGAGGAGACGCCCTGGCCACTGGGCCTTTGCCAGATGCTATTGCTTTGAAAATGGCCCAGACTCAATCTGAGAAGTGTCACTGGCTTCACCAAGAGGAAGGTGACCCACGTCTCCAGGCTCTAGTTGAATCATTTCTGGAAACTGGGTGAATGCTCCTTATAAATGAGCAAAATCTGAAATCCTAAATTAAGTTATTCTTAAAAGAACACTGCCACATCAATTTCTGATACAGTTATTCATTGCTCAATAACAAACGACTCCAGAACAGATTGACTTGGGGGTTCTCCTGCTTCCACAGTGCCACTGGGTGCAGGGATGGTTGGAAGGTCCCAAATGGCCTCACTCCTACAGCAGCTCAGCTGGGCTGCTGGTGGGAGGCCTGGTCCTCCACTGACTGGGCCTCTCCATGTGGCTGCTTGGACTCCCTCACAGTATGGCAGCCAGGTTCCCATCTGCAGGAAGTGGAAGCCTAGTTTTCTTAAGATCTGGGTGTGGAAATCTCAGGATGTCACTTCTGCTGCATTGTTTTAGTCAAAGCCATTAATGGGGAATCCAGGATCAGGGATTTACACTCTGTCTCTCGGTGTGAGGGGCAGTATGCAGTTGTGCTGGGGAGGGAGAATTGGTAGGGCCATCTTTGATGACCACGATACTATAAGCCTGTGTTCATGCAGAACCACCTTGCCACACTGCCCAGGGCCAGTGTGCAAAGACAAAGGTAAGTGTGTTGGGAGAGTCTTAGAGACAGGTGCCGAGTGCAAACCTGCCTCTCGGTGCTCAGGTACCTGGGCCCCTGCCAGGTGAGATGGCAGACTGTGCCCTGCTGTCCTTCAGAGGCTTCTGGGCCTTTCCCTCTCTCTGTACCATCTCTATCCATCTCATGGGCCTAGGATCTGTAGAGCTGGGACCTTCTCCATCACCACTGCTGTGGGAGCTCCTTCCCACCAGACAGGCTCCCAGAAAGCCCTGGCAAGGCTGATCAGTTGGTGGGAATCCACCTGCAGGTCCAGAAGGGGGACACCAAAGTCAAGCCCTATTGATTTTTGCCTCTATCTGTAAGCTGCAGAGTGGAGCACCCTGCCCTCTCCACCCCATGTGGAAACCCTCCCATCATTTCACCTCCCTCCCCACCCCAAGCTCCAAACAAATCCTGTGCCTTGGTCTACGATGAGGAGGGGGGAGGAGTATTTAATTTGGTAATAAACTTGGATCAGGTCCTGCTCCTGAAAACAGAGCCTGCCTCCATCTGCACTTGGCCATATACACCCAGCCTTAGGATTTGGGGGCCCAGCTCAGGAGGGAAGGGGATAGGCAGCCCCTGAGCCCTGGTGAGACACTCATGGTGTGGCCATCTAGAGAGGGTGCTCGCCGAAGTCTAGGGTCCAGAGTGTAAATGAGCAGTCACTAAGGTTTAGAACAGTATCTAGACCTTGGAAATGTATGCAGCATTCAGCAACAAGCCATTTAACTTCCAGAGATTGACCTCTAAGCAAAATATTGGAGCTGTGTGCAAAGACCTCTTGTATACAGTGATATTCTGGGTGACATTTGACATTCTTTCTGCAAATGCCTGAGTCATGCCCAGTTCATGCTTGTGAGGGGCACAAAACAGTGAACAAAGTCAACAGCTGTGTGCCTGTCCCGGGACAGAGAGCTCGTGTTATTTGCTTTTGCAAATGATTAGATAAAATAGATTTGACGAAGATAGAGCGCGCACAGCCAGCCCTCCCCTGCCCCAGCCTATTGAACGCTTGCATTTTCTCCAGACCTCAGCCCAGACATCACATGGGTGGGCACTCTCCCTGACCTAACACGGCTTATACTCGGGACTCTGTGTAGTCTCGCCCACAGCACTCCTGGTCTGTGATCAACGTGTTCATCTGTGGACCAGCTCTAAGTCCCATGGAGCAGGACCAAGTCTCGGTGACTCCAGCCCCACCCCTAGCATTGTGCCCGCCAGGTTCCGCAGCAGATGCACGGGTGCGGCCATGGAGTGGACACGCGCTTAAGTAAGCCCTGTGGGACTGGGCCCTGGGGCTGTTTACCCACGTGCTGCCTTATTCAGCAATTTTAAAGGAGCTGTAGGAAAATACGTGTGAGAAATGCTCATAAGATCATATCAAGGGACACAAGCCCATTATAAAACAGCAGGTACAATTTGATCGCAAGCAAAATAATATCAGTAGTATCTGTGCATTACAGAACAGACTCATATCCTGCTTCTGGGAATGTAAAATGACACCTCCTGTGGGTGCACTGGGAAGGGAAGGATGGTAGGCCAGGCTTTGGCAGTTTCTTTAAAAACTAAGTCTATTACCATGACCCAGCAATTGTACTCTTGGGCATTTATCCCTAGGAAATAAAAACTTCTGATCACACCGAAAAGGGCACACGAGTGTTCATGCATCTTTATTTATAACAGCCCCAAACCGGACACAGCCAACCCAGATGTCCTTCACCAGGTGACCGGCTAAACACACCGTGGTGTCTGGAATACAGCGGTAGGAAGAGGTGAGCTACTGCACACACCCACCTGCCCGATGTCACGGGCATTGCACTAAGCAAAAAGGCCAGTCCCAAAAGGTCACGTTCTGCCTGATTCTGTATATACCACTGTCTCGAAATGACCAAGTGTGGCACTGGAGAACAAAGGAGTGGTTGCTAGGGGTTGAGGATGGTTCGGGGGAGGAGACCAGCAAGGGGGAGCCCGAGAGAGATAGCTGGGTGATGGGACACCCTGGACTGGGCGGTGGCTTCATGAATCTACACGTGCGATCGAATGGTGGAGAACTGTGCACACATCGTACAATACCCATTTCCTGGTGTCAGTTAGCGCTATGGTGACATCAGCGGCAGCTGTTGCAGGGAAACTGGGTGAAGGGCCCATGAGAGCCCTGTCTGCTCTCCTTGCCACTTCCTGTAATCTGATAATTATTTCAAAGGAAAAGTAAAAGAAAAAAATGCTGCAAAGAAAGATTCCTAAAGGTAACTGGATTTATGTCTTAGTGCTAATATTAAACTGATTTTTTTTTAAAAATCCACTTCATTTCCAATATTTTCCATGCTTTCTCCAAGCAACATGGATTACATTTGAAACTAAAAAATAATCAAGAGTGAACATTAGGCGAAAGCAGGGATAGAATCTACAGGAGCTCTCTGGACTATCGTTGTAACTCTCTGTGTTTCTAAAATTATTTCCAAATGAAAAGAAAGTTTTTAGGCTGGGTACGGTGGCTCACACCTGTAATCCCAGCACTTTGGGAGACTGAGGCAGGAGGATCACTTAAGCTCAGGCATTCAAGACCAGCCTGGGTAACATAGCGAGACTTCATCTCAATAAAAATTAAATAAATAAACTTTTTTAAAAAAAGAAAAGTTCTTAAAAACAAATAGCAAATAAGATCAAATGTTGCATACGTGTAGTGAAAAGACAAAAAGTAACAATAAAGTGAGAACTCTTTGCTTAGGGGAAACTCATTAATTAGATTAGAGCAATTAAAAGAGGAAAACAAAAATATCATGAGATGTTGTGAATAAGGCATTTAAAACATTTTAAAAGTCCGGTCTCTTCATAGAGTGCATAGAGAGGGTGTTGGTGAATTTTCTGTCCCTAGGGCAATACCTGGGTGACTAGGCATATTGGATTAGTTCGTTCCAGCTGCCATAACAAAGAACCACACACTGGGTGGGTGGCTCAGACAACAAAAATGCATTCTCCCAGAGTGCTGGGGGCTGGAGGCTGAGATCAAGGTTCCAGCAGGGCTGGTGCCTCCCGAGGCCTCTCTCCTTGGCTTCTAGATGGGGTCTTCTCCATGTGTCCTCGAGTGGACATCCCTCTGTGTGTGTCGGTGTCCTAATCCAGCAGGGCTGGTGCCTCCCGAGGCCTCTCTCCTTGGCTTCTAGATGGTGTCTTCTCCATGTGTCCTTGAGTGGTCATCCCTCTGTGTGTGTCGGTGTCCTAATCCAGCAGGGCTGGTGCCTCCTGAGGGCTCTCTCCTTGGCTTCTAGATGGCGTCTTCTCCGTGTGTCCTTGAGTGGTCATCCCTCTGTGTGTGCTGGTGTCCTAATCCAGCAGGGCTGGTGCCTCCTGAGGCCTCTCTCCTTGGCTTCTAGATGGCGTCTTCTCCATGTGTCCTTGAGTGGTCATCCCTCTGTGTGTGGCGGTGTCCTAATCCAGCAGGGCTGGTGCCTCCCGAGGCCTCTCTCCTTGGCTTCTAGATGGCGTCTTCTCCGTGTGTCCTTGAGTGGTCATCCCTCTGTGTGTGTCAGTGTCCTAATCCAGCAGGGCTGGTGCCTCCTGAGGGCTCTCTCCTTGGCTTCTAGATGGCGTCTTCTCCGTGTGTCCTTGAGTGGTCATCCCTCTGTGTGTGTCAGTGTCCTAATCCAGCAGGGCTGGTGCCTCCTGAGGGCTCTCTCCTTGGCTTCTAGATGGCGTCTTCTCCATGTGTCCTTGAGTGGTCATCCCTGTGTGTTTGTCAGTGTCCTAATCCACTCTTCTTACAAGGACACCAGTCAGATTCAATTAGGGGCCATGCCAATGGCCTAATTTTACCTTAATCACCTCTTTAAGGTCCCTACCTCCAAATAAGGACATTCTGTGGTGCCGGGGGCTAGGGCTGCAACATATGGACTTGGAGGAGCACAATTCGGCCCACAATGATTGTCTTTCGGGTTGATGTTTTAATTATCACCTTATAGAAAACACTGAGAAAAGCAGCGAATAGGCCACATTCGAGGACAATGATGCAAAGAAACAAAGATGAGGTAATAATTTGAACTTAATCATTATATTTATTTATATCCCAACATTCAACAAACTTCTGGCACCAGATGGACATTCTGTGACTATTTTTGAACGATCTTATGAATGACATAAATTTGTCCTCTTTGGCTGTCTTCTCATGTGAATCCTAAATAGGTTTTCCAAGGTATACAATAATTCAGACACAGAACAAACACATTTTGGTCTAATTTGAATAATAAGAACATCTATGTTGCCCTTTCAACATGAGAACTTGGACTTACAGATCTAGACCTTCCACTTTTCCAGGTTCCTCTTGCAAGCACTCCCCACTGGCCGGGTCTAGTTCCCAAGTTGCATGTGAAGTTAAGCCTAAATAAATACCAACAATACTGAAGGGTATTATTTTGTGATACTAGCAGTTTGGGAATAAAACATCAAGGCACCAGCAATTCCGCTCCAAGGTGTATACACAAGAGAACTGAAAACATGTTCACAGAAAAACTTGCACATGAATGTTTACGGCAGCATTATTTGTAAGAGCCAAACAGTGGAAACAACTCAAATATCCATCAATTGGTGATTGGATAAACAAAACAAGATACATGCATAAAATGGAATATCATTTATCTATAAAAAGGGATGAAATGTTGATACATGCTACTATGTGGATGAATTCTGAAAACATTTTACTGAGTAAAAAAGCCACACACAAAAAGCCACATGTTAGATATGACATGCCCAGAACAGGTAGCTTCATAGAGAGAAAAAGCAAATAAACAGAAAGATTAGGTGGATGAATGGATGAACAGATGGATGGATGGATAAATGGGTGGATAGATGGATGGATGGATAAATGGGTGGATAAATGGCTGGATGAATGGATGGATGGATGAATAAGTAGATACACTGACGGATGGATGAATAGATGGATGGATGGATAAATGGATGGATGAATGGATAAATAAACAGGTGAATGGGTGGATAGACAGATGAATGTATGGATGGATGAATAGATGATGGATGGATGGATGATGAATGATGGAAGGGTGGATGATGGATGGATAGATGAATAGATGGGTGGATGGATGAATGGGTGATAAATGGATGGATGGATGGATGAATGAACGGATGGATTATACTCAGTATAATGTTTTCAGAATTCATCCACATGGTAGCATGTATCAGCATTTCATCCCTTTTTATAGACAATGATATTCCATTTTATGCATGTATCTTGTTTTGTTTATCCAATCACCAATTGATGGATATTTGAGTTGTTTCCACTGTTTGGCTCTTACGAATAATGCTGCCATAAACATTCATGTGCAAGTTTTTCTGTGAACATGTTTTCAGTTCTCTGAAATGGATGCATGGATGGATGGATGGATGGATGGATGGATGGATGGATAAGTAGATAAATGGATGGATAGATGAATAGATGATGGATGGATGGATGATGAATGATGGAAGGATGAATGACTGATGGATGGATGAACAGATGGATAGGTGGATGGATGAATGGATACATGGATGGATGAATGGATGGATGAATAGATGATGGATGGATAATGAATGATAGAAAGATGGATAATGGATGGAGAGATGAATAGATGAATGGATGGATGGATGGATGAATGGATGGATGGATGGATGGATGAATGGATGGATGGATGAATAGATGATGGATGGATGATGAATGATAGAAAGATGGATAATGGATGGAGAGATGAATGGATGAATGGATGGATGGATGGATGGATGGATAAGTAAGATGGGACATGATAGGTGAGTCCCAATGATCATTAGGTGCAGCCATGATGTAAACCTGTCAGGGGAACTGGAAGAACGTACGGCCTCTTTTCTAGATCTGCCATCCAAAGGCAGTCACAGTTCTGAGGCCTAAGGTTCTTTGAGCACTTACCATGTGCCAGGCACCATGCCAAACACTGTGGTCAGCTCAACACAGGGATGAGAGTTGCAGACACAGACTCGGAGATGCTGCCACAACCACTGGCCGCAAGTGGTGGGGAGCTGTGCAGTTGGACTCTGGAGCCTTGACACCCCCAGACAGATAATCAGAACTGGCTGACTCCATCAGCCAAGGCTGAGATCCACTGTCCTGCGAGCTCAGTGCAGCTCTGGTGGTAAGAAACTAGCCTCCTTCTGACAGCTCCTAAACCCAGATGAACAGCTCCCACTCTTCTTGCACCTTGTGAATGCTGACCTGGTCTATCCTGCCCCCAGCCCACGTGGCCAACAGGACTGGCGCTTGGCTCTGAGGCTACATCCTCAACTGGGCCAGGCACGTCTGCCTGTCATGAGTTCTGGTGGTCTTCAGCCCTGCCGAGTGACGATGACTAACAACGTGTCGGTTCTGTGCTGGTGCAGTTCCAGATGTCCCTGCATCGTCTGACCCCCACATCCTCCTGAGAATACACAGTAGAGAACATCTGGCCCTGGACTCAGCCTCAGCCACTGCGTCACGCCTGAGCCAGACTGCTTTTTGGAGCCTCAGTTTCCTTTTCCGTGGAATGGGTGCTGTCCTGATTGGGCAAAGTCATCTGAGGCTGACTGATGCACGTGCCCTCGCACCTCCAGGGTCTGCCCACAGCAGGTGCTCAAGGGGCTGGTTCCCACCGACCCACGGGGCCCAGGACCAGGAGGCTGTGGCCTGCCTCCTATAATGCGCCCCTGTCTCACTCGGCCACAAGGCAAGGCTTCACTAATCAGGGCGTTGTGGCCTGAGGCCTGGCCATTCTGTCCCTGTAGCCGGAGACTGGCCCCCTCCTGGACCCCCTCCTGGACCCTCTCCTCACCCTGCCTGCTGCCCCCACCTCTCTACTCCGCTCGTTTGCTAAGTCCCTGGATACCTCCTGCAGGCGTCCTTGCCTGTGCCCGCCTCTGCCCACCTGGAAACCCACACATGACCCATTCTCTGCTCCTGCTGGGTCCACAGGCCTGAAGGGGGAGCTGGGTCCAGACAGGTGGGGGTAAGCAGAGGGGAACGAGCAGTGCCTGCTGTGGCTGGGGCAAGGGCCAGGTTCAAGTAGGTCAGAGGTGCCGAGAGTCTGAGGCTGGGAACCCGGCTGCAGGCCAGTGGGGAAGGGCAGAGGCATGACGGGGTAGGCGGGGGAGCTGGCTGATAGGTATGGGGCCAGGAGAGCCCTCTGGAGGCCTGTGGTTCCAGGGCTGGAGAACAGTCAGGTTTGGGGAGTGAGAGGGGGTCCCTCTGGGTGCAAAGTCACCCAGGGAGATTGCTGAACATGGTGTTGCGGGGAACTGAGGCCGGGGGCTGGGCTGTGATGGGGAGGTGATGGGGAGGCTGAGAGCAGAGGGGGTGTGGTGGGGAGAGGAGGAGCTTATCAGCCCCCGCTGCAGGGAGCGGCCGGAGCTGCAGAAGTCCCAGGATGCACCCCATGCCAAGTGGGGGAGTCCAGGAGTGGGGAGCTGGGTCCTTACCAACAGCAGAGGCTGGCAGCCAAGGCTGCTGCAAGGCAGCCCTTGGGCCCTGGGGGACACTGGGTGGCTACAAAGTCCTTCTGGGCTGGCAGAGGCCCCTCCTGATGCCCCACTCTCACTTTGCCAGACGCTGAGGCAAGTGCCTCAGTTTCCACCTGGAAGCTCCCCTAGCCCAGGGAACCCCAGAATCATCACGCCCTTTTTCATCTCTACACCCTCCAGGATGAACATCGGGAGGAGGGGGCCTATTCCAGCCCCAGGGGCTTGATTTCCACTGAAGTGCAGGCTTCAGGTTCTCAAACCCCTTCTCCCAGCACCACAGCCCCGGCACCATCCCTGAGTCAAAGCACAAGCCCAGGCGAGGCAGCCCATCCCCCGGGGGTCCCCACTCACCCTGCCGCCCACAGCGCACGCCTATAGATGCAGATGGGGTGAGCGGCCACCTCCTGTCCTGGGTGTGCAGTGATGTTTACTCTCCCAGACCTGCACTGTGGAGATGTCCCCCGGGACAGACCTCGGATGACCCACTGCATCATCATCGTGTTTCCCCAAAACCAGGGCTGGTTTCCATTTTGCTACCCACGGCTTGGAGGCCTTGAGGAGCTCTTTTCTCCTGTGGTTTTTCAATGGAGGAATCGCTTGTGCACAATAAGCTGCACTCATTTAAACCATCCAGATCGGTGAGTTTGACAGATGTCTACACCACGAGACCACTGCCACAGGCAGGATTCGGGGCCTTTCCCCCACCCTCAAAATCTCCTCCTACCTGCCACAGGCAACCGCTGACCTGCTTTCTGTTGGTGGGGTTATGCAGTGGTGTGACCTTTTTGCAAGCAATGAAGCAACCCCTGCCACAGCCTTCTATGACCACCTCCCCTCCCCTCCCCTCCCCCTACCTCCACCTCCCCTCTGCCCCCACCTCCCCTCCCCTCCCCCTACCTCCACCTCCCCTCTACCTCCACCTCCCCTCCCCTCCCCTCCACCTCCCCTCCCGTCCCCTCTACCTCCACCTCCCCTCTACCTCCACCTCCCCTCTACCTCCACCTCCCCTCCCCTCCACCTTCCCTCCCCTCCACCTCCCCTCCCCGCCACCTCCACCTCCCCTCCCCTCCCCCCACCTCCACCTCCCCTCTACCTCCATCTCCACCTCCCCTCCACCTCCCCTCCCCTCCACCTCCCCATCCCCTCCACCTCCACCTCCCCTCCCCTCCCCTCTACCTCCACCTTCCCCGTCCCCTCCACCTCCACTGCCCCTCCACCTCCCCTGCCCCTCCACCTCCCCTCCCCTCCCCCTCCCCATCCCCTCCACCTCCACTTCCCCTCCACCTCCACCTCCCCTTCCCTCTTCCTCCACCTCCCCTCCCTTCCCCCTCCACCTCCACCTCCCCTCCAACTCCCCTCCACCTCCCCTCCCTTCCCCCTCTACCTCCACCTCCCCTCCAACTCCCCTCCACCTCCCCTCCCCTCCCCCTCTACCTCCCCTCCCCCTCCATCTCCCCTCTACCTCCACCTCCCCTCTACCTCCACCTCCCCTCCCCTCCACCTCCACCTCCCCTCCACCTCCCCTTCCCTCTACCTCCACCTCCCCTCCCTTCCCCCTCCCCCTCCACCTCCCCTCCACCTCCACCTCCCCTCCAACGCCCCTCCACCTCCCCTCCCCTCCACCTCCCCTCCCCTCCACCTCCCCTCCCCTCCACCTCCCCTCCCCTCCACCTCCCCTCCACCTCCACCTCCCCTCCCCTCCCCCTCCCCCTCCACCTCCCCTCCACCTCCACCTCCCCTCCACCTCCTCCTCCCCTCCACTTCCCTTTCCCACCCCTCTACCTCCCTTCCCCTCCTCTCTACCTCCCCTCCACTTCCCCTCCACCTCCACCTCACCTCACCTCCACCTCCCCTCCCCTCTACCTCCACCTCCCCTCCACCTCCACCTCCCCTCCCCTCCCCTCTACCTCCCTTCCACCTCCCCTCCCCTCCACCTGCCCTCGACACTTCCTCCCCTCCCCTCCAGCCTCACTGGCCTGCCCCTTCTGGAGCGCCCAAGCCTGCTGCTGCCCCGGGGCCTTGGCACGTGCCGTTCCTGCTGCCTGGACAGCTCTTTCTCCAGGCACTGCCTCCTTACTTTCCTGGGGTCTGTGCAATGGCGTGCCATCAGGGAGGCCCCCCTACCCCTCCTGTGTTAGATGGTGCCCGCCCCTTCCCTGAGCTCTGCCTCCCCTCCGGCCCTCGGGCGGTCCAGTGCAGCACACACTGCAGCCGCTGTCAGGAAGTACTGGGAGGGCAGAGCCTGGGTCTCTGGGGTTTTGCTGTGGTCTCAGTGTATCCCGCTAAATTCAGATATTGAAGTCTCTCCCCCAGTGTGCTGGCGTGAGGAGGTGGGGCTCTGGGGAGGTGGAGCCCTTGCGAATGGGATTAGCGCCCTTATGAAAGGGACCCCAGAGAGTTCCTTTGCTCCTTCTGCCGCACGTGGATACAGCCAGAAGGTGCCATCGATGAACCAGAAAGCAGACAGACACTGAATCTGGGGGCGCCTTGACCGCGGGTGTCCAGCTCCACAACAGTGAACCAGAACAGTGAGAAACAGGTTTCTGTTGCTTATGAGCCCCCAGCCTATGAGCACGTGTGATGGCCGCCAGAACGGACCCAGCGGGTTCACTGCACGGACACAGAGCGTCTTCGCTGCCTGCCTCTGCCACACCAGCTGCGAGGGCCCACAGATGGCCAGTTCCCCTCTCTCCCCGTGTGCCTGCCATGCGGGTTAAACAAAACTCCCACAGACAGAGCCAAATGGAGAGAGAGCACCAAGGTGGAGGGGACGGTAGGGGGACTGTTCCTTTTCAGTCACGTGGCTGAAATGGTGTCTCAGCCAGGCCTGGAGCCCGGACCTCCTGAGCCCACACCAAAGTTGCCTCCCGCCTCCTGAGCCCACGCCAAAATTGCCTCCCACAAACACGCTGCTTTCCTGGGTGGGGGAGCTCGCCATTCCCCGACACGAGCAGGGCCAGGCTCTGGGGCCGGCTGCTAAGGCTCAAATCCCAACTTGGTGTGACGTGGGTGACATGCTCAATCTGCTGTGCCTCGGCTTCCCCTTCTGTAACATGGGGATCATCACAGTTCCTTCCTCCTAGGGTCTGTGGGGACTCAGTGCCTCGGCTTCCCCTTCTGTAACATGGGGATCATCGCAGTTCCTTCCTCCTGGGGTCTGTGGGGACTCAGTGGTAGCCGTGGGAGAGGTTAGGGAGCCTGCCTTGACTCATGGCCAGCGTTTGATGAGCTAAAATGGGCGGGGCCATGAGACGGGCAGGTGGCAGGGAGCTTCAGTCACCTGAGAGCACCAAAGGGGAGGCCGGAGCCTGGCACACCCGTCCTGCTGGCCCCGTCTTTGTGCCTGGCCTGAAGTGGGTCACTTCCCACCCCACCCCCTCTCCGTATCAGGCTGTTCACCCCCACCTTCCTGCCCTGTACCCCCAGAGGAGTGTGCGGATGGATGGGTACGTGGGCAGATATCCAGATGGATAGACAGACAGCATCAAACACCGCACTTAAGCAAAGAACAAGTCTTAATGTAGCAGGGGCTGGAGGGGAGCGAGCGCACTGTGAGAACCAATGTTCATCGCCCAGCACCGCCCAGCACCGCCCAGCAGCCTCCTCACCAATTCACTCAATTAACCTCTGTCCTCCGCGAGCAGAACACATTCTGCTCAGTGTCGCCCAGGATTCCATTTGACAGAAGCCAAACCACTTCATGAGGAGCTTAAATAAAGAGCTCTCCTCCTACCCTTGGAACACACTTGAGCGTAAGCCTATTTTTGCATATGTTACATAACACTCTCTCCTCATTCATGGACAGGGAACGCTTCCCTATGAATGGTGTTCACACTGAGGCAGAAGACTCTCCCTCCCTTGCGGAGAGAAGAGGCGGAGCTCCCGTTGCAAAGTCTGCAGCCACAGGTGGGGAGGCCTTGGGGGTGCTCCTGGGAATACGGGCAGACAGGTGGATGCCCCACGTCGGCTCCCACTGGGTGAAGCCTCGTCCTGCTGCTGACTGGACCTGCTAGGGACGGGGGCAGACTCTTCAGGTCCCCACAGAGCAGACTGGCTGTGACAGTGGGCTGGATGGTGGCCCCTCGGGGAGCTGAACACACCACCAGGGCCACACGAGAGGATCCGGTGGGGAGGGACAGGAAACACCCCGGCCAGCTCACCTGGGCGGGATCACAGAGGCTTGAGTTCTAAGCTAAGGACTTCGGGCTACTTGGTGGGCCCTGAGAAGACAAAGGCAAGACCCAGGGCCTGCCGGGGAGTGGCCGGAGCTTGCACAAGAGCCAGGCTCGCCTTCACCCAGGACCGAAGGCACACACCGTCTCTGGGTGCCACTGACTGGACAAAGACAAGAGGCCCCTGACGGCTTTCTACTTGGCCCATTAGCCTCATGAACCACAAAGTCACATTTGTAATCAATCCTATAATTCTGTTTTGAGTAGCACAATTAGGCCGCTTTGAATTTTTATGAGCTAAACGTTGATTCGTTAACTATAAACATTGCATTCCACCATTTCCGAAACACTGTTTTGGACTTATTTTTTTTAGGGGACTAAAAAAAAATGGGATGGGTCACCTCCAAGAAGCCCAGCCAGACCTCATCCTACAGGGCTTGTTTTCGTCACAAAGGACCGCGGGGCCCTGGGAGGGTGGGGAGGACACAGCCGAGGCGGCTGATTTTTCATGGCAGGAGCAGGAGAGTGCCCCACAACCTCGGCTCCAGCGATCCTCCCACTGCAGAGAATGGGACGGGGCAGGAACTGTCAGTTCCACAGTGAAATATCCCCGGAGCCAGGCAGAGAAATCCATGCTCTGCCCATGCACCGGGTGTGTGATTGTGTGCGGAGGGCCCAGCTGTGTCACGAGGACCCCCAGCGATGCCCGCACCACTGGGCTTCCCCAGACAGGCCTCCCCCACGAGCCATCTGGTGGTTCCCTTGCTGGCCGAGTTGTCTCCTTTGAGGCTGTCTCTACCTGGCATGAATTCTGCCCTGAGCTTACTCTTCCCAAAGCTTCACTGCTTCCTTCTTGACAAATGTCATGCCTGTGATTTGGAGGGGACTTTCAGGAACCTGCCCTCATCAAGGCAGGATGACAGGCCAGGCACAAACCCAGTAGACATATTCCTCTCCAAACAGCCCCACGGTCTCCCGCCAGCTCTTGGGAATACATGGACTGTGAATGAAAGTTGACCAAGGAGGTCAGAAATTAAGTCAACTCAGAGAAATCACCTCCGCAAATTCGGCCACACCAGTGCAGAGCCCCTAACCTACCAAAGAGTATTTCCTGGCATGGGCACCCATCAGGATTTGTGTGGAGACGCCTCCTCACCTGCCATCTCTGTGGTGGAGACACCTCCTCATTTGCCGTCTCTGTGCTGGGGACACACCCTCACCTGGTGTCTGTAGTGGGGACACCTCCTCACCTGCTGTCTCTGTGCTGGGGACACCCCTCACCTGCTGTCACTGTGCTGGGGACACCTCCTCACCTGCTGTCTCTGTGCTGGGGACACCCCTCACCTGCTGTCTCTGTGGTGGGGACACCTCCTCACCTGCTGTCTCTGTGCTGGGGACACCCCTCACCTGCTGTCTCTATGGTGGGGACACCCCCTCACCTGCTGTCTCTGTGGTGGGGACACCCACTCACCTGCTGTCTCTGTGGTGGGGACACCCCCTCATCTGATGTCTCTGTGGTGGGGACACCCCCTCACCTGCTGTCTCTGTGCTGGGGACACCCCTCACCTGGTGTCTGTGTGCTGGGGACACCCCCTCACCTGCTGTCTCTCTGGTGGGGACACACCCTCACCTGGTGTCTCTGTGGTGGGGACACCCCCTCACCTGCTGTCTCTCTGGTGGGGACACCCCCTCACCTGGTGTCTGTGGTGGGGACACCCCCTCACCTGGTGTCTGTGGTGGGGACACCCCCTCACCTGATGTCTGTGGTGGGGACACCCCCTCACCTGGTGTCTGTGGTGGGGACACCCCCTCACCTGATGTCTGTGGTGGGGACACACCCTCACCTGCTGTCTCTCTAGTGGGGACACCCCCTCACCTGGTGTCTGTGGTGGGGACACCCCCTCACCTGGTGTCTGTGGTGGGGACACCTCCTCCCTTGGGCATGTGTACGTGGTCAGGGCACCTCCTCCCCGGCTTGTCTGTGTGTGGGTCCCCGAGGGAAGGGAAGCCACTTGCTTGCTAGTCAGGAGATCATGTGCATGCTTCCCCTTCACACTCTGGGCCTCTATGAACTGCTTCCATTTGCAGCAAAAACACCGAGCTCCCAGCTGCTCTGGCAAGCGCTCCAGGCTCCCATAGGCGCCCCCACAAAGTCAGGTTTGTTTCCTTTGGCACATGAGGCATGGAGAATTGTAGGAAAGGAGCCTCCACCAAGCAGAGCAGATGGAGGGAGGAGGGCAGCTTCCTGCTTCCCAGGCGATGGGACCCCACAATCGTCTGACCCACTGCCATAGCTTCCTGGACATTACTGAAGGGCTCAGCTCGGGGTGGAGGGATGAGCACCTCTGCTGTGCCTACCTCGAGTGTGGAACTGGCAGGACTGTGTGGAAGGGCTGCCTTTCTTGCCTTGCCCATCTCCTGGTGCCTGGATGTCCCGGGCACATCCCGATGTCCAGAGCTTCCCCCACCCACTTTGCTCCCAGAGCTCCAGCATCACCCCTCCCTTTGCTGGTGCCTGAAACCATCACTGCTGCAGGGCCTGGGTGAGGAATCAGGCTGCTCACAGAGCGCCTGGCCTGGCTGCTTCCTACTTTTCCTGCACATGTGCCTGACAGCCCAGGCAGGGAGTGGGGAGGTGGGGGGAGAGGGGACCCCCTTGGAAGCGTACCTCACCTTCTCATCATGCCGCTTCCCCACCTAGGAGGGAGAGTCTCAGAAAGACCCTTGCTTTGTAAGGAAGAAGCTGGCCAGTGTCCCGTTGCCCCCACAAGGCCGCCCATCTAACCCTCTTCTCACACAGGATGGAGGGAGGGCAGTCCCAAAGGCTCACTGGGCCCTGGGCCCTGCAGTGGATGGATCTGTGGGACTGGAGCCCTGAGGAACCAGGAGCTGAGAGTGTCCCAGCATCAGCAGCCCAGGCTCTTCAGGAAACTCCGCAAGCAGCGGCTCACCCCAGCCAGCTGCTAAACTCCAGCCACATGCAGAGACTCTGAGTGGACTTTTACCCCCAGCCCTGCCTGGGCAGTCCCCCAGACCAGAGTCCAACTTACACAGGCCACACTGGCCGGGCCACGGTTCGCTGTGCTCTCTGGCACAGACCACGGCCCTTGGGGTCTGTGGTGCATTGAGCTGTCACGGGCTTGCAATTCCCCAAACTGGAGAAAACCCTGGAAAGACCAGAGGCACAAAAAGGAAACCCACTCCCCTAGTCTTTCATTTCCTTCTCCTTGCATTTCCAACCTGGGGAGGGGAGGGGAGCCCGGGAGGGTGTGCAAAGGGGAAGGACGGGGCGAGACCCGGCTTTCCAGCATCTACTACGAAATGCCACATGCAGAGCAGGTCAGCAGGTCCCAACCCCTTCCACCCTGTTTTCCAGCATCTACCACAAAACGCCGCATGCAGGGCAGGTCAGCAGGTCCAATCCCCTTTGACCTGGCTTTCCAGTATCTACCACAAAACACCGTGCACAGAGCAAAGTCCGATTCCCTTCCACCTGGCTTTCCAGCATCTACCACAAAACGCCGCATGCAGGGCAGGTCAGCAGGTCCCATCCCCTTCCACCCGGCTTTCCAGTATCTGCCACAAAACACCACATGCAGGGCAGGTGAGCAGGTCCCATTCCCTTCCACCCGGCTTTCCAGCATCTACCGCAAAACGCCGCATGCAGGGCAGGTCAGCAGGTCCCATTCCACCAGGGCTTTCTTCTCATCTAAGGAGAGAGGAGGCGTCTGCTGGCGTTGGGTTTTCCCCTGGGCAAAAGACAGCTGTAAACAAAACAGCGCTAGGCAAGCATGCCGAGGTGAGAGGGGCCAGAAACCAGGGAGGAAGCTCTCCAGATAACAGAGCTGAGCCTGACTGTGGCATCTCCAGGGTCTGTTCCTGCCACACAGGCACTCCAGGCCCACATGGGAGAATGACAGCTCCTCCAGAGCCGGCCCTCAGGAAGTTCTCCAATACCCTGAGCTACTGTGAACCCTCGGAGCACCGTTGGTGAAGGGTGCTTTTCGAGGCTGTCAGGGTGAGCGTGAGCCCCCAGGCCCTGGTGGCATTTGTCATGGGTGGCATTGGTCTCTGTCCCTACAGCCTGCCTCCTGGGGCCACCACCACCTTCCTGGCTGCCCCCTCCAGCCTGGCTACTTAGGGGCTACTGGTACCCAGGAGATCAGGGAAGCCTGGGTTGCCAGCGGCCGGGGTGGGGGCTGTGGCACCTGCCGGCCGCTATGATCTGAATGTTGGTGCCCCCAGAAACTCATCTGTTGAAATCCTCACCGCATCATGATGGCATTGGGAGGCCATGGGGCCTTGAGGAGGTGGGGAGATCCTCAGGGTGGAGCCGTGTTCGTGGGATTCACGCCCTGATAAAGGCCACACAGAGCTCCCTCAGTCCTTCCACACGCAGGGACACAGACGAAGGATGTTGTCTGTAACCCAGCCGCAGGCGCTCACGGGAATCCGACCCTGCTGGTGCCCTGAGCTCAGCCTTGCAGCCTGCAAGGCTGTGAAAAATAAATGTCCATGCTTAGAAGCCACCAGTCTATGGTACATCATTACAGCAGCGGGAACGGACTGAGACATGCGGTGATCTCGCTTCTGGGGACAGGGGTTTCTGTCCCCAGCTCTCAGCTCCATCATCGACCCTGACAGAGTCCACAGTGAACATCCAGGGAGCAGGGCCAGCTCCCGGGCCCCTGTTCCTGGGGTATGGCTGCTTGTGTCTCACAGCAACGTCCCCCACACCCTGCACCTTATAGAAAAGGGGGCGGGACTCATGAAGACTCCTGGGTCTTGGCTCCTGGCCTCACCTGCTCAGAACCCAGCTCAGTTCCCCCATGGCCTCCATCCCTACCCAGTCCCGAGTCATCATTGCCCACTTGGCACCCCCCAGCCCTCCCTGGCTCCCCGCAGGGTCCATCCCTTCCTGCCAGGTCCTTGCTGGGATTCTCTGTGCACGTGGGACTCCCCCATTTCCGGGGGGATCAACCCCAGTGCTGATGAAGGCAAACTCAACAGCAGTCACACCTGGGAGTCCCACTGTCGGGGTCTGGGACCAAGAGGGAGCAGCAGGGCCAGGAGGCTTGCTGGGACCTCTGGGATAATATGACAGATCACGCCCACACACGAGGATGGCCAGTGGGGACGTTTGAGGTTCTCCCAGGCTTGATCACTCCCAGGCCAGGGCAAACCCCACACCCCACCTTCCACCCTGGGAGAAGTGGTGTCCCTGGCTACAGCCTCAGTGAGCACCCCCTGGTCTCTCTCCTGGCCCTGCCTCCCTCCAGGCTCACTGCAACCTCCACCTCCCAGGTTCAAGTGATTCTCCTGCCTCAGGCTCCTGAGTAGCTGGGACTACAGGTGTGCATCACCACGCCCAGCTACTTTTTGTATTTTTAATAAAGACAGGGTTTCATCATGTTGGCCAGGCTGGTCTCGAACTCCTAACCTCAGGTGACCTGCCCGTGTTGGCCTCCCTAAGTGCTGGGATTCCAGGCATGAACCACGGCACCCGGCCAAGAATTTGTTTCTTTATAAAAAATCATGGCTAGAAGGTTTGGCTTTTTTTCTTACTGTAAAAGCAATGAATGTTCATATAATATTGGACTTGTAATAAAATGTATCCCAAGTCTGCAGGGAATCCCCATGTGGGTGTCAATGGGCACCTCGACTTAGTGGCCGGCTCTTAATTCATGGGTCCACCCCCTGCACCTCTTCCCCCTTGGTTGGCTCAACTTCAGTCAGGAGGACTGGAGCCCACCCGGCCACTCAGGCCACAAGCCCGGGATCTCCACGGAGTTGGGGGTCCCCTCCCACCCGCATCCAACCCATCAGCTAGCTCTGTTGACTGTGCCTTCAAAACACATCCCACATTGGGCCTTTCCTCACCACTCGAGGCGTGTCCCTGTGCAAGGCCCTCGATTTCTCCATCAGCATTTGCAGCCAGCTGGGGGCCCGACCTGGGCAGATCCAGCCAGAAACTGGGAAGTGGCCACAATGGCGGCGGCCACCTTGGTGGACGTGGGGAGAATTGGAATGGCAGGAGATGAGTGAGATGCGGAGACAGATGTGTCTCTGCGCTTGTGCCAGGCTCCAAATTTGGAAGCATCGCTGATGGCCAAATTCCAACGAACCTGGAGTCCTGCTGTTGACTTTCTGATCCAACCGGTGAGTGCAGGGTGGCCCGGCCCTCCCTGTGAAACCAGACTTGTCTGGGGTGGTGTCTGACTTTTCTCAGTGAGCTCCGAGGCCCACCATTCTCATATCATCTGGAGGGTTTGTCAAAATGCAGATTCGTGGCTCCACTTCTGACCTATAGATCAAAGCTGTGGGGATGGGGCCCGGGAGCCTGTATTTCAAACAGCTCCTAGGTGGTCCTGGTGGAGGTTAAGAACTTCTGGCCTGGGGATTGGGAGTGTGGACTCTGCAGCGGCTCATCTCAGGCTGGAGTCCCGGCTGGAGTTTGTAAGCTACACAACTGGCCGCCCTCCACATCCTCCTCCGCAGGACAGGCTCCTGCCGTGAGTGAGACGATGTCCAGCTCAGCTCGGCGCCTGGCACACTGGGGACTGCCCTCAGCTCTGCCACTCTTGTTATTGTGGTTATTGCTGTGGCCATTGTGACGCTCTGCCTTCCTTGTTGTTGAGCCTGCTGCTGGTTGCACGTGACTTTGGACACCTATTTCCAGATGCCCGGCCCTGCACGCATTCATGGGGTTGCCGTGGAAACTGTGCTGTGAGGATGGCAGAAGCCGCAGGGTGAACAGAGTCTGAGTTTCCCAGGCACCGCGGCGGGCGTCAGCTGATTATCTGCAGTGGGCATCTCTGTTACTCTGCGATGGTCTCGGGTCTCTGTTAAGCATATTCACTGACACGGCACCACTACTCCCCCTTGTCCAAGGCCATCCCCAATGCCACCCTAAGGCAGCTTTTACTTTGGAAATCTTTATTATGACTTTATTTCCTATTTAATTTATTAGACTCCTTTGATGAGAAATAACACCTAAGTTTCCCCTACTCTCCTTTAAAACAAATTCCCCTCCATGGTTTCTGTGTCTCCTCCTCCTTCGCTGTCTGAGTTTCTTGGCTTCTCTGTTTGAATCAGTGCCCAGCTCTGTGGAGGGTCTGCGGCTGCTGCCTCTGCCAGTGCTGGTCCCACCCCGTCGCAGAAAACACATTTATGAGAAGGCGTGGGGCGGACAGAAGATGCCCCGTCCTGGACTCCACGCCCGGCCTGGGGGCAGTGGGGCCCTGAGGTGTCCTGGCTCTTGTTGAGAAAAGTATTAGTATTGGGCTGGAACCCCGAGAACGAACCAGAAATTTCAAGGGGCGTTGCCCTTATCTAATTTTGTGTCCTTTCTGTTTTTTAAACGTTAGAGACCTTTGGTCCGCCATGTTTGCTTTCACCTTTTAGCATTTTTGGCCCCAGGCTTAGTTTCATCAAATCCACTTTCTGCACAGCAAGTGCCCGTTGTGAGCTCATCCTCCACTGGCACTTCCATTTCATGGGCATCTCTGCGTATCAGAAGTAGCTTCCTGCGGTCTGGTGCATTGTAGCCGTTCCAAGAGCAAGAAGAGCAGAAAGAAGAAAAAGCACTCAGCCCCTCCAGGCCAAATCGCATCGCAGTTTTGGAAGACTCCTGTTACCTTGGTGTTTTCTCTCCTGGTTTCATTGGCCTTCTGACTGCTGGGAGCAAAGGTTAAATATTTCAAGGGAGCAATCGTAATCCTTCTGTTCAGCCCCAGCCCTTGCCAGAGACTTGGGAGTTGCCTGGTTTAGGCACCAGCAGCTCAGCAAACACCCACCGCCTCTGGCCACCAATTTGCAAGGTCGGTTTGTGCAGACAGGAGGCCTCCCCTCCCTCTGCGGGAAGCAGGTGCTGGCCTCTCCTCAGCCTCCAGCCATGCGGAGCCTCTCACCTGGGGCCCGTCGCTTCCACTCAAGGAGGCAGATGGAGGAAGGAAGCCCAGGAGGCTCCTGAGGATGCCTCCACCAGGGGGCACAGTCTCTGGAGGGGCGGAGTCTTGCACGGTGGGTCTGCACTGGAGGGCAGCCAGCAGGGTGCAGCTCTGCCAGGCACATGCCCCCTTGCAGCACTCTTTGGGCCAAAGGGACTTGGAAGGTGACCAGAGGGTTTAAAAGTCCACGTGCCCTTCTTTGCAAGCATGGGCAGTTCCCTTCGTGGTTTCCTCTGGGGAGCCGGTAACAATGTGTGGACAGTAAGGGCATTGCCAACTTTAATGAGTCTGGACCCTCAAGGCCCCTGTGAAAGGCAGCTTCGGGGACAATGATGGAAGAGGGGACAGGCTCCCAAAGACCCCAGAGGCCCAGGAGGCATCATGGTCAATGCAGCTGACCTGGAGCTGCCAGCAGACCCCTGGAACCAATCCTCGGGAAGTGTGGACAAAGGGCTAAAAGCTCCGATGGATGGAGCGCCCAAGCCAGAAATAAATGAATGAATGAATGAATGAAATCCCAGGCTGCTCCAACAGCCACCCAGGGACTCGCTGTCCTGACCACAGCCCCCCACCAGAGGCGTGCCCGGGGGAGCCCAGGGATGCACTTCACCAGCAGAGAGCACTGTGGCCCATCCATGGCCAATGCCATGGCGGGTGTGTGCCCCCCTCACCCGGAGAGATGGGGCAGCCCGTGGCCACATCGGGCTTCTGAGGTCAGGAACAGTTACTCCAAGGGGCTGACGGTGATGCCTGGGCAGGATGGATGTGGGTGGGGGTCAGTTGGCTCCTTGGCTTACCAGTGGGGGACCTGCCTGGTCGCCCCAAGCAGCAGCGGAGCCTCATGTCAGGCTGCCTGGAGCTGCCCCCGTCTTCCCTCTCCCCAACCCGGAGGGAAGCTCTGGCAACTCAGCTGGAAATGGGAGGGCAGGATTTCTTATGCTGGGTGATGTCAAAAAGGCCCCCTGCCCCCACCTTCAAGATGTAGAGAGAAAGGAGGGCAGAAGCCTGGGGTGCTCCCTCCCTCCAGCAGCTCCCTGGTGATGTGTGTTGCTCTAGCCTGGAGAGTGCGTGTGTGTGTGTGCGTGCCCGTCACCCTCTGTCTCTCTTCTTCACTATTGGCAAGCATCCATTTGGTGCCTTCTGCACATCAGGACTGCCAGTGGGGCGGCCCCAGGGAGGAAGGGAGCTGCTCTCAGCTGGTTCAGGAGCCTCTGTTACTTTTGCTCATCAATGTCCTGTTCATATTTTGAAGCAGCAGATAGGAAGGAGCAGGAATGAATGTGAGAAGCTGTCCTGCCATGAGCTGGTGGAAGAAGGCCCCTCTTTGTTGGGACAGGAGCTGTGTGCCGCACCTTGCACCCTGCTTCCCTCCCCCACCAGCCAGGGTGAGAATGCAGGCCGGTCCCTGTGGTATCAGCGCTATTGGGCTAAAGGACACGCATGGGTGCTGGCTGTTAAGGGGGCCGTCACAGCCCATGCTATGTGGCTCTGGCTTCCTCAGGACCACTAAGGGAGAAGGGGCCCCTGTAGCAAAGAAACATGGTGTTCCAACTGACCCTGGAAGCCTGTTGGCTGGGGAGGGGACAATCTCAGTCAGACTGTTCTCCCAGATGCTCATCCCAGTGCTTCCTCTGAGGTCCCTCAGGGAGCAGGGCCCTGTTCAGTCCCCCAACAAGCCCTTAGAGCCCAGAGCCAGGCCATGAGCAAAGCCCATGGTGCCAGGCAGCTGGCGTGTGGTCCTTGGGACAGCTCCAGGAACCTCAAGTCCTCTGCAGGTACAGCTGCTAATGACAGATAATGACAGACCACAGCCTGGAAGTGGGGCCCACGGCATCTGACTGGCAGCAGCTGAAAAGAACTTAATGACGGTCTCTGAAAAGGCCCAGCGGAACCCCCACCTGGCACGTGGCAGGAACTCGTGCTTTCCTTTTACTTAGGAGTTGAAGGATCAATTTAGAAAATTGAAGCCAACTACGTCTCACCATCAAATCCCTAAAAGCTGCCCTCCCTCTGAGAAGCTTCCACGCGGCCCCCAGGACCCAGTGCTGCCACCCCCAGCCCACAGCCTCCTGACGTGGAAACTTGGCTGTGGCCAATGGAATTGTCTGCAGGTATCAGGCCGGCCTTTTCAGCAGAGGCGCCTCCCATGTGGAGGGGAACAAAGCCCGTGGAAGCTCAGGGAAGGGAAGAAGTACTGTTTCCTTCTCGTTTGCAGGACTGCAGGGCTTCTTGGAGGTGGGTGGCTGTGACTTTGGGAGCCCAGGGTGACCTTGAATGTCCCCAAGCTGCCGAAGATTTCTGAAATTGAGAAGCTTGGAGAGCAGGCCCCGTTTCAACGAGCAGAGCCTACAAGGGGTGCCCTGAAACAGTACTGAGGGACACTGAGAAGCAAGGCCTGATGTCCCAGGGCCAGCAGGAGGCCAGGGGTACAGCTGGGGATCCCAGGTGGCCCTGTTCAGAGAGCACCAGCCCATGTGCCCACCCCTGCAGGGAACTTCAGGGGGTTTCTGAAGGACCTGAGGCCAAGAGGAGGAGCTGAGCAGGGAGAGAACTGGAAAGAAGAAAGACAGCCCTGCCTTGCCATTCACTGCTACTGGCCTGCGTGCTCACCAGAACTTGAACAAACCATTAAAAAACCTGAGAACTGGGTACAGTGGCTCAGGCCTGTAATCCCAGCACTTTGGGAGGCCAAGGTGGGCAGATCACCTGAGGTCAGGAGTTCGAGACCAGCCTGGGCAACATGGGGAAACCCCATCTTTACTAATAGTACAAAAAGTTAGCCAGGCATAGTGGTGGGTGCCTGTAATCTCAGCTACTTGGAAGGCTGAGGCAGGAGAATCGCTTGAACCTGGGAGGAGGTTGCAGTGAGCTGAGATCACGCCATTGCACAACAAGAGTGAAACTCTGTCTCAAAAAAAAAACAAAACAAAACAAAAAAACACACACAAGAAATGGGATCTGGGCTGGGCTTGTGAGCACGAGAATAAGAAGGAGTATTTTTTTCATTGTGATCACAGTTTGCAAAGACTTTTCTTGCACAATTGGGGTGGAAAGTAGGAGAAAGGTCATGGACTGAGGTTCTAGGTTTGGATCCTGCTCCTCAGCCTTTCTTTCCTCATTGTAAAGTGGGTTTCAGTGGCTGCCTGGTAGGGCTGTTGAGAGAGCACCCAGAGCCCTGGCACCTCGCATATAACAGGCACCCAGCAACTGGATCTTAGGGGCTGTTTTGGGAAGGCGGCTGTAGTGGGTTGAATGGTGGCCCCCCAGGAAGGTAAATCCACATCCTAACCCCCAGAACTTGTGCATGTGACTTATTTGGAAAGGGCTTTTACAGATGTTTTTAAATTAAAGATCTGGAAATGAGGTCACCACGGATTATCTGGGTGGACCCTAAATCCAAGAGCAAGTGTTCTTATAAGAGAAAAGCAGACCAGGTGTGGTGACTCATGCCTGTAATCCCAGCACTTTGGGAGGCCGAGGCAGGCGGATCACCTGAGGTCAGGAGTTCAAGACCAGCCTGGCCAACATGGTGAAACCCTGTCTCTACTAAAAATGCAAAAATTAGCTGGGCTTGGTGGTGGGCACCTGTAGTCCCAGGTACTCGGGAGGCTGAGGCAGAAGAATCGCTTGAACCCAGGAGGCAGAGGTTGCAGTGAGCGAGATCGCGCCATTGCACTCCAGCCTGGGTGACAGAGTGAGACTGTCCCCCACAAAAAAGAAAAAAGCAGAAGGGGACCTGAGACAAACAGAAGAGAAGACACAGAGGCGCAGTCAGAGGAGAAAGCCACTGCAGACGGAGTGAGCGGAGGCTGGAGTGACGTGGCCCCAAGTCAAGGAATGACTAGCCTCCTGAAGCTGGAGGAGACAACGAAGGACCCTCTTCTGGAATTTTCAGAGGGGCAGGGCCCCTCACACCTTGACTTTGTGCTTCTGGCCTTGAGAACATGAGAGCAAATTTCAGTTGCCCTCAGTTTCCAAGTCCCTGGTAATTAGTGTAGCAGTCCCAGGGCACTCACAGAGGCCACAGCCGAAACTCCCAGGGATGACCCTGTACCCATCCTCCACTTTAGCCCCTCAAATGTCCAACTAAAAGCCCTACATCCCCAGCCTCATTTGCATCTAGGAGTGCACGTGACCGTGCAGAGAGGAGCACTGAGTTTGGGTTGAGGGGGCCGTGGAGAAATCTGCTTCAAAAGAAACAGACTCTGCTGGGACATGCCTTTCCCTTTGCCCTTTGCTGCCTGGACAAAGGACTAAAGGCTGGGACAGAGCAGCCATCTTGCAACCATGAAGCAGCCAAGCACCTCCACTAAAACCCCACTAGGAGTGGCTGGAAAAATAGACAGGTCCTGGGTCCCTGGTGGCATGTGGAGCCTTGTATTCACGTTTTCTCTTTTCTTTTCTTTTTTTCTTTTGATGGAGTCTCACTCTGTCACCCAGAACAGAGTGCAGTGGCGTGATCTCAGCTTACTGCAACCTCCGCCTCCCAGGTTCAAGCAAATCTCCTTCCTCAGCCTCCCAAATAACTGAGATTACAGGTGCCCGCCACCACACGCGGCTAATTTTTGTATCTTTAGTAGAGACAGGGTTTCACCATGTTGGCCAGGCTGGTCTCAAACTCCTGACCTTTAGTGATCTGCCTGCTTCAGCCTCCCAAAGTGCTGGGATTACAGGCATGAGCCACCATGCCCTGCCTGTTTTTTTATTTTCTATATCTTATGATGTCTGACTTATTTATTTATTTTTTTTTAGATGGAATCTCACTCAGTTGCCAGCCTGGAGTGCAGTGGCGCGATCTTGGCTTACTGCAATCTCGGCCTCCTGGGTTCAAGCGATTCTCCTGCCTCAGCCTCCCATGTAGCTGGGATGTTTGACATCTTAAAAGTCTTGCTGGCCAGGGAGAGACTGGCCTTCCCAGGGCTACCCAACTCTGAGAGATACTGAAGGGCAGTCCTGGGCTTCTTATTTACAAACCAACCAATCCTGAGTCTATGCACACGACTACCTCTGTTTAACTCTCATACACCAGGCCAATAATGCCCCTGCTCTAAATCATCCCAGGGCCAGGTGCCAGGCAACTAGAGACCTCCCCTAGAGCCCAAAGCATGCCGGAATTACTCGAATTAGCAGATCCTGAGCTGTTCCCCGCTCTACATTTCCCGAGGAAACCCCAATACATACTCTGGCCTGTGCCCTCTCCTTGCCCATTTCTGCCTTCTGTCCAAAACTGCTGCTCCCCATACAGCCCTGCGTGGCATGGCATGCCCCCCATCTCAGGACCTGTGAGTAACAAATTCTTCTTTCAATGGGATTGGCTTCTCTGCGTTCTCATTCAGTTACCTCCATAAATTACAATCCCAAGGACACAAATGAGACAAGCCTCGACCTCCAGACTCGTTGGGTGAGAAAAATACTAGATTGAGCCATTGAGGCCAATGCCACCTACAAACAAACGCAGTCTCCAAACCAGCCCATGTTGGCATGGCTTGGCCTGCATGGGGCTCTGCTCAGAGGGTGCAACTTGAATTACCACTAAAGGCTCAGCTTTCGTCCCTTGTCCTTGAAGGAAGTTCCTGGGCCAGTCCTCTCCCAGTGTGTCTTCCTTCCCCTCCCCAGGGGAAGGGGAGGGCTCTAGTCAACTGAGGGCTCCATGGATGTGGGCATGGAGACTGGCACACACATTTCTCTCAACCCACCACCAGAGGCCTCAGGGCCCACACCTTCCTCTCTCATTGTACCCTGGCTGTGAAAACACCAGATGCCGTGTACCTGTGGGGGTAGCCTGGTCCAGCTGGCCAGGGCCCAAGTGCTCATCAGCATAAGAGGTCTCCAACTCTCCGAGATCACAGCATCCTATGAGGGAGGCGACAACTGTGGTAACAACGATGGCCATGGTGTGGCCACCTACCGCAGGATCCTCCTCTCTCTTTTACAGGTGTGACCATTGTCCCTTTGATCCTCACCACAGCTCTCGGGTAAGGATTGCAACTCTCATCCCATTTTACAGATGCAGAAGCTGAGATGCTAGAGATGTGATTGTGTCAGTTTCGGAGGACATGGGGGTGAAGGCACAGCTGGAATGAGAGCGTGAAGCACTGGAGAGGCAAGCCCGCTCACCTTCTGCTACATCTCCAAGTCATAGCAACATGAAGTGGGCCACGAATACCACCAGACTGTATTGCTGGGGTAGTAAAGATAGGAGGGGCCCAGGGGGCACCCCTGTGACAGCCTTGGCCGATGCTTTGCAATGGAACCTCCTGGCTCTGCAGGTTTGACTCTAGGCCGAAGAGTCACAGCAGCAGTTTCCATCAACTGAGGTGCTTCAGTGTCCGATCAGGCACCCTGCAAACACAGTCTGTTCCACCGCCCCCAGGCAGGTGCCAGTGTCCCCATTAGCAAATGGTGAAGCTGGGTCTCAGAGAGGTCAAGTAACCTTTCTAAGGTCAGACAGCTAATAATTGACAGAACCTAAATTTGACCTGCAGGGGAGCCCACTTCTTAACTTCTAGGCTAACCTGACTCATAAAAAGTACACTATTCTCTGTTTCTCTCTCTCTTTCCTTTTTCTTGCTGATTTTATATAAAGGGCTGGCATTCTGATTGTTCTTTTTTCAGGTTTAATCCTTATTTTAATAAAGTTTTCAAGCAAAAAAAAAAGGTACACTAGAGAGGTTCACCTAGGGACTAGTTTCACCCAGGGTCATCATTCAGTTCAGCAGTGAGTGCTGAATGCATTTGCTCCAGCTCCCTCGATCCATCTCAGTTTGGCTTCTCACCATTCCCACCCCATCACCAATACTACCACCAATACAACTGTCACTGTTCCCATCACCACCAGCATCACCCTCACGATCACCACCATCACTACCATCACTACAACCAGTATCACCACCATCACCACCACCACCTTCACTCCCACCACCACCATCACGATCACCACCACCACCACCTTCACTCCCACCACCACCACCACCATCACCACCACCACTACCTTCACTCCCACCACCACCACCACCACTTTCACTCCCACCACCACCACCATCACCACCACCACCACCTTCACTCCCACCACCACCATCACCATCACCACCACCACCACCACCACCATCACCACCACTACCTTCACTCCCACCAGCACCATCACCATCCCCACCACCACTACCTTCACTCCCACCATCACCACCACCATCACCACCACCACTACCTTCACTCCCACCAGCACCATCACCATCCCC